>NC_000002.12:115671436-115974466 GCF_000001405.40 Homo sapiens | reverse complement strand
TACCAAGAAAATTCAGATACTGAAATTACTGAAAAAAGATTTTAAAGAATCCATAATAAAAATATTTCATTAATAACAAATTATCTTTAAACAAATGAAAAAGTATAAAACTCAACAAATAAATAGAAATGATTTTAAAATGAAGAAACAAATGGAAATTTTAGAACTGAAAAATACAAAATAGAAATAAAACTTATTGGGTGGACTCAATAATAGACTGAGGATGACAGAGGATAAATCAATTAATTTAAGAATAAAGCAATGGGATTCACCCCAACTGGATATCAAGGGGAAAATAGGCAGAAAAAAAATGGACAAAGCCTGGGGTCTTGTAGCATAATAACACAAGATTTAACATTCATATTATCAGGATAGAAGAAAGAGAGTGGGTCACACTGAGAGTATTTAAAGAAATAATGGAAGAAAAATCACCAAATTTAGTATAAGACAAAAACCTGTAAGTTCAAAAGGTTGAATAAATACAAATCAAGATAAACTGATATAATCCATGCCAAGACACACCGTAATTGAACTTTTGAGAAATAAAGCAAAGAGAAAAAAAAAAAAAAAGAATATCCAAGAGACAAGCAGCACATTAACATAGAGGAACACACATTCAAATCACAGTGAGTTTCTCAACCATAGGGGCCAAAAGGAAGTGGATTGTTTTTTCGAGTGCCAAAAGAAAATAACTGTCAACTATAAATTCTATAGCTGCTGAAACTATTCTTTATTAATAACAGAGAAAAAAAAAACTTTCCCCAAAGATACAAACAGAATGAATTTGTCACTAACAGACTTACCATTAAAAACTGTCTTAAGAAAATTATTCAAATGAAAAGAACCTAATATAAAGGAAAGGATCTTGGAATATCAGGAAATAAGAAAAAACAACAGACAGAACAGAATTATGAGTACATTCAATAGGCAATTCTTTTCCTCATGAGTTTTATAAATTATATTTGATATTGAAAGAAAATATCATCTGATATCCAAGACAATGATATTTAAAAGTTGATGAGGGTAAAAGCCCTAAGTGAAGGTGATATTTTCACACTTTATTCAGAGTGGCAAGGTGTTGATGCCAGAAGACTATGCTCACAGCAACCACTATGGAAACTATGCAAAGAAATATACTCAAACACACTGTAAGTAAATCACAAAAGAATACTGTAAAAATGTAAGAAACCTACAGAAAGTTAAGCTGAACAAGACCCAGAGAAAACAAACACAATAGAAGTAATGAAATGACAGATTTAAGCTGTAACATATCAATAATTACCTTAAATGTAAATATGCTAAATGTACCAATCAAAATAGAGATTGGCAGAGTTGATAAGCAGAACACATCAGGGGTTCCCAGCCCACGGGGCTGTGGACCTGTACAAGAAACTAGCCCGCACAGCAGGAGGTGAGCAGTGGGAGAGAGAGCATGACCACCTGAGCTCCATCCACCTCCTGTCAGAATAGCAGTGGCATTAAATTCTCATAGGCGCTTGAACACTATTGTAAACTGTGCAATCAAGGGATTTAGGTTACACATTCCATATGAGAATCTAACTAATGCCTGATGATCTGAGGTTGAACAATTTCATCCTAAAACCATCACCCCCTGGTCCGTGGAAGAATTGTCTTCCATTAAACCACAAAACCAGTCTCTGGTGCCAAAAAGGTTGGGGACCAATGGAATACACCATTAACCATATGCTGCTTACAAGAAAGTCACTTCAGATTCAGACATTAAGTAGGCTGAATGTAGAAGGATGGAAAAAGACATACATGCAAATATTAATTTAAAAAAGGCAAGGAAAACATATCAATATTGGATAAAGTAGCCTCCAGAGCAAAGAAAATTATTAAAGACAGAGATATGTTACATAATAAACGACTCAACTCACCAAGAAAACATAACAATCCTAAAGTGTGGGCACCAAATAAAAGAGCCTCAAAATACATGCAGTAGAAACTATTAATACTATAAGGAAAATATACATAATTACAGTTGGAAAATTCAACACTGCTTATTCAGCAACTAACAGAACTTTTAGAAAAAATATTAGCAAGAATATAGATCTGAACCACACAACAGAATCTAATTGACATATATAGAACTCATCAACCAAAAACATCAGAACACATTTTTTAAAGAGTCCACGGAAGATTTATAAAAATAGACCATAGCCAGGGCCATAAAAGAGCCTCAACAAATTTAAAAGACTTTAAATCTTGCAAGTTGTGTTTTCTGGGCCTAATAGAATCAAGCTAGAAATCAGTAACAGAAAGACAACAAGAAAATCTATAAAAATGTGGAAACTTAAAAAACACACACATTTTTAAATGCAGTCCATGCATCTCAAAGGAGATTTTTTTAAAAGACAAAACTGAACAGGAAATTAATATTGTGAAAATTTCCACACTACCCAAAGCAATATGCAGATTCAATATATTCTCTATCAAAATTGCAATGGCAATTTTGAGAAATTGAAAAAACAATACTAAAATCCATATGGAACCACAAAAGACCCCAAGTAGCCAAAGCAATCTTGTAAAAGAAAAACAAAGTTGAACGCATCACTCTGTCTCATTTCAAATTACATCATAAAGTTACAGTAATCAAAACAGCATAGTACCGACATAAAACAGACAGATAAACGAGTGGAACAAAATAGAGAGCCCCAGAAATAAAACCAAGCATATATGGTCAACTAATTTTTGAAAACGGTACCAAAAACATACAAAAGAGAAAGAATAGTCTTCTTCAATAAATGATGCTGGGAAAACTGTCTAACCACATGCAAAAGTGTAAGACTGGATCATTACCTTACACCATACACAAAATTCAACTCAAAATGCATTAAAGATTTACATGTAAGACTTGAAACCAAAATCTCCTAGAGGAAAATAAACGGGGAGAGCCTCTTTTTAAAAATTATTTTATTTTTATTCATTTATTTAATTTTTAAACAGTGTCTCACTCTGTCACTCAGGTTGCAGTGCAGTGGCATGATCACAGCTCACTGCAGCCTTGACCTCTTGGTTTGCAGTCCTCCTAAGTAGCCTCCCAAGTAGCTGGGACTACAGATGTGTGCTGCCATGCCCAGCTAATTTTTAAAAAAATTTTTAGAGACCACGTGTAACTACATTGCCCAGGCTAGTCTCAAAATCCTTGGCTCAAGTAATCCTCCCACTTTGACCTCCCAAAATGCTGGGATTACAAGCTTAAGCCAACAGGCCCGGCTGGGAAAGCTTCTTGATGTTGGTCTACACAGTGAGATTTTGGATAGGATAACAAAGCACAGGAAACAAAAGAAAAGGTAAAAAAGTAGGTCTACATCAAAGTAAAAAGTTTCCACAAACAGGAAGTAGATAATTAATAAAATGAAAGGGCAGCATATAGATTGCGAGAAAATATTTGCAAACCATTTATCAAAAAAGGAGTTAATATTAGAAATATATAAGGAACTCACAGAATTCAATAGCAAAAAATGAATAATCCAGTTAAAATATGGGCAAAGAACCTGAATAGACAACTCTAAAGAAGATATAAAAATGACCAATAAGTATATGAAAAGGTGTTCACCATCACTAATGATCAGAGTAATGCAACTCAAAATTACAATATCACCTACCCAATAGGATGGCTATTATTAGAAAGACAAGAAACAGCAAGCGTTGGTAAGTTGGTAAGGATGTGAAGAAAAGAAAACACTGTTGATAGGAATGTAAATTATTGCAGCCATAATGAAAAAACAGCGTAGCGTTTCCTAAGAAAATTGAAAATAGAACTGCCATATGACCAAGAAATCTCTCTGCTGGGTATACACTCAAAGGAAATGAAATGAGCATCTTGTAGAGAGCAGCTGCACACTCATGTTCATTGCAGCATTATTCACAATAGGCAAGATATGAAAAAAACCTAAGCATCCATCAATGAATGGTTGGACAAAGAAATTATGTGCAATGGGTTATTCAGCCTTAAAAATAATCTGCCATTTGTAGCAACATGGATGAACCTGGAGAATATTATGTTAAGTGAAATAAGCCAGATCGAAAAAGAAACACCCTGCCTGACCTCTCTTATATGTTGATATGGTTTGTATCTGTGTCTCCACCCACATCTCATGTTGAATTGTAATTCCCAGTGTTGGAGGTGGGGCCCAGTGGGAAGTAATTGGATCACGGAAGTGGATTTCCTCCTTGGTACTGTCCACATGATAGTGACTGAGTTCTTCCAAGATCCGGTTGTTTAACAATATGTGGCACACTCTCCTCCCTCTCTTGCTCCTGCTCCTGCCATGTAAGATGCCTGTTCCTGCTTTGCCTTCCACCATAAGTAAAAGCTCCCTGAGGCCTCCCCAGAAGCAGATGCTGCCATGTTTCCTGTATGGACTGCAGAACCATGAGACAATTACACCTCTTTTCCTTACAAATTACCCAGTCTCAGGTATTTCTTTATAGCAATTCAAAAATGGGCGAATACATGTGTGGCATATATAAAGAAGTATAGTACATAGATACATGGTAGAATGGTAGTTAACAGAGGCAGGAGTTAGGGCAGAAATGGAGAGATGAAGGTTAAAAGGTACAATTGTGCAGCTATGCAGGATAAGTCTAGAGAACTAATCTACAGCATGAAGACTATAGTTAATAATATTGTATTATACACAGAAAATTGGCTAATGGAGATTTTAGGGGATCTCACACATTTTAAAAGATGACTTCATAAGATGATGGATATGTTAATTGGCTTGAATATAATAATCATTTAACTATGTATATGCATATCAAAACATCAAATGGTATAACTTAAATATATATATAAATGAATAAAACAAAATTGAATTTGAAAGAAAAGGAAAAGCATAGCAAAATATGTGGAAGGCATAAAAGCATAGAAAGGGATTAAATGAATAATTTAATTTCTAATCACAAGGAACTACAAAAAGAAAAGCAAAATAAACACAAAACAAGCCAAAGGAAGCAGTTAATAAAATAACAAAAATTAATAAAATGCAAAATTGTTTAAAAATGCAGAAAAATCAAATGATATGAAAAGCTTATTCTTTAAAATAAATCAATAAAATTAGTAAATCTCCAATAACACTAACAAATGTAAAAGAACAAAGGACAAAAATTGCCACTGTCAGAAATAAAATAGAAGATATCACTAGAGATTCTACAGCCAAGGACAAGATAACAAGGGAATACTTCAGAAATACTTTGCACTCATAAACTAGACAACTTAGGATAAATGGATCAATTCCTCAAAAACCACACACTACTGAAACTCAAGATGATCCGAATAGACTCATAACCATCAAAGACCTTAAATTCATAATTAAAATTCTATTAAAATATAAATCTCTGGACACAGAAGTCTGATGGTTTTAATAATTCTACCAAATATTTTTAAAGAATTATTACAAATTTTTAATAATCTCTTCCAGAAAACAGAAGATGAGGAAATATTGCCCAACTCATTTTATAGGACTAGTATTACTGAACTACAAAAGTGTGTTAAGGCAGCTTCCTGCTCCCCACCATGAAAAAACCACAGGCAAAGAGCTCTCACAAATGTAGATGCTAAATACTCAAAAAATATTAGCAAACAAAATCCAAAAATGTACAAAATAATTATACACTATGACCAGTTGAAACTTATTTCAGGGTTTCAGGCCTGGTTGAATATTTGAATATCAAACAGTGCAATTCACCATATCAAAAAGTCAAAAAAGCAAATTCTGATTATGCTAAGTAACAGAGGAAAACATTAAAAAATCCAACACCAGCCAGGCACGATGACTCAGGCACGTAACACCAGCAATTTGGGAGGCTGAGGTGGGCAGATCACCTGAGGTCAGGAGTTTGAGACCAGCCTGGCCAACATGGTGAAACCTCATATCTATTAAAAATACAAAAATTAGCCAGGTGTGGTGGTGGGCGCCTGTAAGCCAGCCTACTTGGGAGGCTGAGGCAGGAGAATTGTTTGAACCCGGGAGGCGGAGTCTGCAGTGCAGGGCACTGCACTGCAGCCTGAGAGACAGAGTGAAACCGCGTCCCCCTGCCAACAAAAAAATCCAACACCCACTCATATTAAAAAAAAAAAACTCCAAGAAAAGTAGGAGTTGATGGTGAAAGTCTTCAATTTGATAAAGAAAATCTACAAAAAGCCAGCAATGAACACTCTTGGTTATAGACTAAATTCTTTCCCCCTAAGATCATGAACAAGGCAAGGATGTCTGTTCTTTTTACTCTTATTCAACATGATCTGCATGTTCTAACAAGTTCAATAAAGCAAACAAAAGGGAATTAAAGTCATACTAATTGAAGCAAAAGAAATAAAATTATGCTTCATTTGCAAATGTCATGATTGTCTGTATAGAAATTCAATACAAGTCTCCTCTCCAAAAAACCCAAAAAAACAAAAACTCAAATACTAAAACTAATGAGTGAGTTTATTTGGTCACATGATGCAAGATCAACACACAAAAATCAAACATATTTCCATACATTAATACACCATATGTGTGTGTCTGTGTGCTTGCACACGAGTGTGCATGTGCATGTCCATGAGTGTGAGCGTGAGTATATACAGAGGTGTACTTAAAGAAATTGGAATTGGTTTGTGTGATTATTATAAGGGTTGGCCAGTCCAAAATTTGTAGAGCAGGCCAAGAAACTGAAAACTTTCAAATGATGCTGCAGTGTTTAGACAGATATTTTTCTTCTTAGAAACACTTCGGTATTGCACTTAAAGCCCTTCAACTTATTGGATGAGGCCCACCATTGAGAATAATGTCTATTACTTAAAATTAGCTGATTGTAGTTGTTAAAACATCTACAAAATGCCTCCACAGCAACACTTCAAGTATTAAGTTGGTACAAAAGTCACTACAGTTTTTGCTTTTGAAAGTAATGTCAAAAACTGTACTTACTTTTGAACCAACCTAATAGCAAATGATCAAATGATTGTGTACCATAACCTAGCAAATTTAACATATTAATTAACCATTGCAGTTTACCTTGGTCAACGTGGTGTCCATACCTATCCCCCAAATCATACTTAATTTCTAAATAAAGACAACAATGAAGTCATACTTCCATGCAACATGATACAGCAATTGTGCCTGCAACTGAAAACACAGTAGTCCTTTTCCCAGAAGAGGTGACACAGTCCTTAGATGAAGTTCACTCTTCTTCAAATCTTAAATACTGTGATTTAAAGTTAACCATTATTCAATACATCTTATGTTAGATAATGAGGGGATAAGAGAGGGTAGAAAGCAAAGATTTGATGCACAAACCTATTTATCTTTAAAAAAAGAAAGAAATACTCAACAATTACAACTCTTGTCTCTGCAACTGATAACATAGTGGTGAGCTTGTTTGTATAATTCTCTCTTTCTACTACCCATTCCATATTCTCTTTACTCCAAACAAGCACCTCACCTGGTCATGTTTTTTGTTTTGTTTTATTTTGTTTTTGCCTCATTCAGTGACCCAAATCTTCATTTCCAAAGTGACCAAGCCATTGGAAATTGTGTGTGAATTGAGATGTTGTAGTTTTTTCCATGGAAACTTTTGTCACTGGGACCTTCCCTGAGGGAGACATATTCTTCCTTATACCCCCTGTGTCATGGCAGGCTAATTTTCCCTTGTTAATCAGAAGTAATCTTTCCTGACAGCAAAGTAACTCCCTCCTTTGATGATTCAGATGCACAAGGAGCCCAAAGAGGCTCTGTGAAAGACCTAACCCCCAGTTTGGTGGGATCATTGCTTTGTTTCCTGATAGCAGCAATCCTCCCTTTGAAACAAAAACCTCTAGACCAGTAGAGCATCGTAAGGTCAGAGGACAAGAAGCAAAAATTTTACTAGTATATTAAACAATAAATAAAGGAAAACTTTCTTAACTTGATAAAAAAATCTGCAAAGAACATATAGTTAACATTTATACTTAGGTGTGAAAATGCAAAGCTTTTCAACTGGGATTAAGAACAAGGCAAGGGTATCCTGTCACCACTACTTTTCAACATTTTACTACAAAACCTAGCTAATGCAATAAGACAAGAAAATAAAATCAAACGTATACAAATTGGGAAGGAAGAAATAAAACTGTCTTTGTTCACATAATTACCTACGTAGAAGATTTGAAAGTATTAATCAAAAACAATAACAACAACAACAACCGGAACTACTAAGCAATTCTATCAAAGTTTCAGGATACAAAGATAATATACAAGTGAGTCACTTATCTATATAGCAGCAATGAATAAATTGTTGCTAGAAATTGGTATTAAAAATTTATTACCAAGTCGTTCCAAGATGGTCGAATAGGAACAGCTCCGGTCTGCAGCTCCCAGTGTGATCAATGCAGAAGACGGCTGATTTCTGTATTTCCAACTGAGATACCTGGTTCATTTCATTGGGACTGGCTGGAAAGTGGGTGCAGCCCATAGAAGGCAAGCTGAAGCAGGGCGAGGCACCTCAGCCGGGAAGCACAAGGGGTTTGGGGATTTCCCTTTCCTACCCAAGGGAAGCCCTGACAGACTGTATCTGGAAAAACAGGACACTGCTGCCCAAATACTGCACTTTTCCTATGGTGTTAGCAACTGGCAGACCAGGAGATTCTCCCCCATACCTGGGTCGGCGGGTTACACGCCCACAGAACCTTGCTCACGGCTAGCGCAGAAGTCTGAGATCCACCTGCAAGGCTGCAGCCGGGCGGGGGGAGGTGCATCCACCATTGCTGAGGCTTAAGTAGGTAAACAAAGTGGCAAGGAAGCACAAAGTGGGTGGAGCCCACTGCAGCTCAGCAAGGCCTACTACCTCTATAGGCCTCACCTCTGTGGGCAGGGCATAGCTGAACAAAAGGCAGCAGAAACTTCTGCATACTTAAACATCCCTGCCTGACAGCTCTTAAGAGAGCAGTGGTTCTCACAGCATGGTGTTTGAGCTCTGAGAATGGACAGACTGACTCCTCAAGTAGGTCCCTGACCCCCGTATAGCCTAAGTGGGAGACACCTCCCAGTAGGGGCCGACTGACACCTCCTACAGGTGGGTGCCCTTCTGGGACGAAGCTTCCAGAGGAAGGATCAGGCAGCAATATTTGCAGTTCAGCACCCTGTGCGGTGATACCCAGACAAACAGGGTCTGGAGTGGACTTCCAGCAAACTCCAACAGACCTGCAGCTGAGGGACTGACTGTTAGAAGGAAAACCAACAAACAGAAAGGAATAGCATCAACATCAATAAAAAGGACATCCACACCAAAACCCCATCTGTAGGTCACCAACATCAAAGACCAAAGGTAGACAAAACCACAAAGATGGGGAGAAACCAGAGTAGAAAAGCTGAAAATTCTAAACACCAGAGTGCCTTTTCTCCTCCAAATGATCACAGCTCCTCGCCAGCAATGGAACAAACCTGGACGGAGAATGACTTTGATGAGCTGACAGAAGTTGGCTTCAGAAGGTCAGTAATAATAAACTACTCTGAGCTAAAGGAGCATGTTCTAACCCATAGCAAGGAAGCTAAAAACCTTGAAAAAAGGTTAGATGAATGGCTAACTAGAATAAACAGTATAGAGAAGACTGTAAATGACCTGATGTAGCTGAAAACCGTGGCATACGTAAGAATTTCGTGACACATGCACAAGCTTCAATAGCCAAGTCAATCAAGTGGAAGAAAGGGTATCAGTGATTGAAGAACAAATTAATGAAATACAGTGAGAAGACGGGTTTAGAAAAAAAGAGTAAAACAAAATGAATAAAGCCTCCAAGAAATATGGGACTATGTGAAAAGACCAAATCTACATTTGATTGGTGTACCTACAAGTGATGGGGAGAATGGAACCAAGTTGGAAAACACTCTTCAGGATATTATCCAGGAGAAATTCCCCAACCTAGCAAGGCAGGCCCACATACAAATTCAGGAAATACAGAGAACACTACGAATATACTCCTCGAGAAGAAAATCCCCAAGACTCATAACTGTCAGATTCACCAAGGTTGAAATGATGGAAAAAATGTTAAGGGCAGCCAGAGAGAAAGGTCAGGTTACCCACAAAGGGAAGCCCATCAGACTAACAGCGGTTCTCCTGGCAGAAACCCTACAAGCCAGAAGACAGTGGGGGCTAATATTTAATATTCTTAAAGTATTTCCAACGCAGAATTTCATATCCAGCCAAACTAAGCTTCATAAGTGAAGGAGAAATAAAATCCTTTACAGACAAGCAAATGCTGAGAGATTTTGTCACCACCAGGCCCGCCTTACAAGAACTCCTGAAGGAAGTACTACACATAGAAAGGAACAACTGGTACCAGCCACTGCAAAAAATGCTAAATTGTAAAGACCACTGATGCTAGGAAGAAACTGCATCAACTAATGAGCAAAATAACCAGCTAACATCATAATGACAGGATCAAATTCACACATGACAGTATTAACCTTAAATGTAAATGGGATTAATGTCCCAATTAAAAGATACAGACTGGCAAACTGGATAAAGAGTCAAAGTCCATTGGTGTGCTGTATTCAGGAGACACATCTCAAGTGCAGAGACACACATAGGCTCAAAATAAAGGGATGGAGGAAGGTCTACCAAGCAAATGAAAATCAATAAAAAAGCAGGGGTTGCAATTCTAGTCTCTGATAAAATAGACTTCAAACCAACAAAGATCAAAAGAGACAATGAAGGCCATTACATAATGGTAAAGGGATCAATTCAACAAGAAGAGCTAACTATCCTAAATATATATGCACCCAATACAGGAGTACCCAGATTCATAAAGCAAGTCCTTGGAGACCTACAAAGAGACTTAGACTCCCACACAATAATAATGGGAGACTTTAACACCCCACTGTCAACATTAGACAGATCAATGTTAGAAGGTTAACAAGGATATCTAGGACTTGAACTCAGCTCTGCACCAAGTGGACCTAATAGGCATCTACAGAACTCTCCACACCAAATCAACAGAATATACATTCTTCTCAGAACCACATCGCACTTATTTTAAAATTGACCACATAATTGGAAATAAAGCACCCTCAGCAAATGTAAAAGAACAGAAATCACAACAAACTGTCTCTCAGACCAGTGAAATCAAACTAGAACTCAGGATTAAGAAACTCATTCAAAATCGCAGAACTACATGGAAACTAAACAACCTGCTCCTGAATGACTACTGAGTAAATAACGAAATGAAGGCAGAAATAAAGATGTACTTTGAAACCAATAAGAACAAAGACACAATGTACCAGAATCTCTGGGACACATTTAAAGCAGTGTGTAGAGGGAAATTTATAGCACTAAATGCCCACAAGAGAAAGCAGGAAAGATCTAAAATTGACACCCCAACATCACAATTAAAAGAACTAGAGAAGCAAGAGCAAACACATTCAAAAGCTAGCAGAAGGAAAGAAATAACTAAGATCAGAACACAACTGAAGGAGATAGAGAAAAAAAAAACCTTTCAAAAATCAATGAATGCAAGAGCTGGTTTTTGAAAAGATCAACAAAATTGATAGGCCGCTAGCAAGACAAAGAAGAATAGAGAGCAGAATCAAATAGGCTCAATTAAAAAAATGATAAAGGGGATATCACCACCGATCCCACAGAAATACAAACTACCATCAGAGAATAAACACCTCTATGCAAATAAACTAAAAAATCTAGAAGAAATGGATAAATTCCTGGACACATACACCATCCCAAGGCTAAACCAGTAAGAAGTTGAATCTCTGACTAGACCAATAACAGGCTCTGAAATTGAGGCACTAATTAATAGCCTACCAACCAAAAAGAGTCCAAGACCAGATGGATTCACAGCCAAATTCTACCAGAGGTACAACGAGGAGCTGGTACTATTTCTTCCGAAACTATTTCAATCAATAGAAAAAGAGGGAATCCTCCCTAACTCATTTTATGAGGCCAGGATCATCCTGATACCAATGCCTGGCAGAGACACAAAAAAGGGAGAATTTTAGACCAATATCCCTGATGAACACTGATGCGAAAATTGTCAATAAAATACTGGCAAACCGAATCCAGCAGCACATCAAAAAGCTTATCCACCATGATCAAGTTGGCTTCATCCCTGGAATACAAAGGCTGGTTCAACATATGCAAATCAATAAACGTAATCCATCACATAAACAGAACCAATGACAAAACCACATGATTATCTCAATAGATGCAGAAAAGGCCTTTGACAAAATTCAACAGCGCTTCATGCTAAAAACTCTCAATAAATTAGGTATTGATGGAACATATCTCAAAATAATAAGAGCTATCTGTGACAAACCCACAGCCAATGTCATACTGAATGGGCAAAAACTAGAAGCATTCCCTTTGAAAGCCGGCACAAGACAAGGATGCCCTCTCTCACCACTCCTATTCAACACAGTGTTAAAAATTCTGGCCAGGGCAATCAGGCAAGAGAAATAAATAAAGGGCATTCAATTAGGAAAAGAGGAAGTCAAATTGTCCCTGTTTGCAGATGACATGACTGTATACTTAGAAAACCCCATCGTCTCAGCCCAAAATCTCTTTAAGCTGATAAACAACTTCAGCAAAGTCTCAGGATACAAAATCAATGTGAAAAAATCACAAGCATTCTTATACAACAATAAAAGACAAATAGAGAGGCAAATCAGAGTGTACTCCCATTTACAACTGCTACAAAGAGAATAAAATACCTAGGAATCCAACTTACAAGGGATGTGAAGGACCTCTTCAAGGAGAACTACAAACCACTGCTCAGTGAAATAAAAGAGGACACAAACAAATGGAAGAACATTCCATGCTCATGGATAGGAAGAATCAATATCATGAAAATTGCCATACTGCCCAAGGTAATTTACAGATTCAGTGCCATCCCCATCAAGTTACCAATGACTTTCTTTACATTATTGGAAAAAAACTACCTTTAAGTTCATATGGAACCAAAAAAGAGCCCACATTGCCAAGTCAATCCTAAGCAAAAAGACAAAGCTGGAGGCATCATGCTACCTGACTTCAAACTATACAACAAGGCTACAGTAACCAAAACAGCATGGTACTGTTACCAAAACAGAGATACAGACCAATGGAACAGAACAGAGCCCTCAGAAATAATACCATCTGATCTTTGACAAAACTGACAAAAACAAGAAATGAGGAAAGGACACCCTATTCAATAAATGCGCTGGGGAAACTGGCTAGCCATATGCAGAAAGCTGAAACTGGATCCCTTCCTTACACCTTATACAAAAACTAATTCAAGATGGATTAAAGACTTAAATGTTAGACCTAAAACCATAAAAACCCTAGAAGAAAACCTAGGCAATACTATTCAGGACATAAGCATGGGCAAGAACTTCATGACTAAAGCACTAAAAGCAATGGCAAAAAAAAAAAAAAAAAAGCCAAAGTAGACAAATGGCACCTAATTAATCTAAAGAGCTTCTGCACAGCAAAAGAAACTACCATCAGAGTGAACAGGCAACCTACAGAATGGGAGAAGATTTTTGCAATCTACCCATCTGACAGAGGGCTAATAGCCAGAATTTACAAAGAACTTAAACAAATTTACAAGAAAAAACAACCCCATCAAAAAGTGGGCCAAGTTTATGAACAGACACTTCTCAAAAAAGACATTTATGCCGCCAACAGATACATAAAAAAAATGCTCATGATCACTGGTCATCAGAGAAATGAAAATCAAAACCACAATGAGACACTATCTCATGTCAGTTAGAATGGTGATCATTAAAAAGTTAGGAAACAACAGATGCTGGAGAGGATGTGGAGAAATAGGAATGCTTTTACACTGTTGGTGGGAGTGTAAAGTAGTTCACCCATTGTGGAAGACAGGGTGGAAATTCCTCAGGAATTTTGAACTAGAAACACCATTTGACCCAGCAATCCCATTACTGGGTATATACCCAAAGGATTATAAATCATGCTGCTATAAAGACACTTGCACACGTATGTGTATTGTGGCACTATTCACAAGAGCAAAGACTTGGAACCAACCCAAATGTCCATCAATGATAGACTGGATTAAGAAAATGTGGCACATATACACCATGGAATATTATGCAATCATAAAAAAGATGAAGCTGGAAACCATCGTTCTCAGCAAACTATCACAAGGACAGAAAACCAAACACTGCATGTTCTCACTCATAGGTGGGAACTGAACAATGAGAACACTTGGACCCAGGGAGGGCAACATCACACACCGGGGCCTGTTAGGGGGTGAGGGGCTGAGGGAGGGAGAGCATTAGGAGAAATACCTAATGTAAATGACAAGTTGATGGGTGCAGCAAAACAACATGGCACATGTATACCTATGTAACAAACCTGCACATTGTGCACATATACCCTAGAACTTAAAGTATAGTAAAAAATTATTACCACTTACATTAGCACCCCTAAAATAAAATACTTAGGTATAAATATAAAAATGTATAAAATCTAAAGGAGGAAAACTATAAAATTCTGAAGAAGAAATAAAGAACAAAATAAATAGAAGGATCTTTCTTGTTCATAATTAGGAAGACTCAATATTGTCATGATGTCAGCTATTTCCTATTTAATGTATAAATTCAATGTAATTCCAATAAAAATCCTAACAGCTGTTTTGTGGCCATCAGCAAAGTGACTTTAAAGTTTATATGGAGAGGCAAAAAAGAAACCCCACGTAATAACCAACCAAATATTGAAGAAGAACAAAGTCCGAGAATGTACAATATCCAACTTTAAGACTTTATATAAAGCTGCAGTAATCCAGACAGTGTGGAACTGGTGAAATAATAGGCAAATAAATCAGTGGAACAGAATAGGGACCCCAGAAATAGATTGATATGGTCAACTGATATTTGACAATGGAGCAAAAACAACACAATGGAGCAAGGAGTGTTTTCAAAAAATGGTAATAAAATAACCTCACATCGACATAAAAAATCTAAATACAAACTTTACACCCTTGACAAAAACTGACTCAAAGTATATCTCAGAACTAAATTGTAAAACACAAAACTATAAAATTCCTAGAAGATAATATGGAAGAAAATCTAGAAGGCCTTGGGTTTGACAATGATTTTTCAGATATGACACTAAAGATCAAAATATTGAATTATTAAGCTGGACTTAATCAAAATTACAAATTTTGACTCTCTGTAAAAAGTCTAAGGAGAATGAAAAGACAAGTCACAGAGTGGGGAAAATGTTTGCAAAAGACATAACCTTAAAGGACTGTTATTCCAAATATGCCAGAACTCCTAAAACTCAACAATAAGAAAACTTAATTTAAAAATTGCTAACAACCTTGACAGACATCTCACCAAAGAAGATACACAAATGGCAAATAAGCACATAAGGAGATGTTCCACAACATATTTCATGAGGGAAATGCAAGTTAAACCATATGATACCAGTTTACATCTGGATTAGCTTAGCAAAATCCAGAACACCAACACTAGATGTTGGTTAAGATGTAGAGCAACCCTAACTCTCATTCATTACTGGTGAGAATGCACAATGGTACAGCCACTTTGGATGATATGTTGGCAATTTCTTACAAAACTAAACATATTCTTATCATACAATCTAGCAATCTTACTCCTTAGTATATATCCAAAGTAACGGAAAATTTATGACCACACAAAAACCTGTGCTTGAATGTTTACAGCACCTTTACTCATAATTGCAAAAACATGGAAGCAACCAAGATGTCCTTAAGTAGATGAATAACTATGATACATCCAGATGACAAAATATTATTTAGTGCTAAAAACAAATTAAGTATTGAGAAATAAAAATATGGAAGAAACCCAAAGGCATATTAGTAAAAGAAACCAATCCGAAAAGGCTATGTACTGTGTGATTCCAACTATATGACATTCTAGAAGGCAAAACTATGTAGATAGCTAAAAGATCAGTAGTTGCAGGGATGAGGGAACAGGAAGGAATAAATAGATGGTTCACAGAGGATTTTTAGGGCAGTAAAACTATTCTGTATAGTACTACAATGGTAGATACATGTCATTATATATTTGTCCAAATCCATACCATATATAACACCAAGATTGAACCTTAATGTAAATTGTGGACTTTGGGTGATAATACTGAGTTAATGTAGATTCAAAGATTGCAACAAATGTACTACTCTGGTGGGTAATGTTGGTAATGGGTGAAGCTATGCATGTTTGGGAGTAGGAGATATGTATTAGCCATGGGTCTCCAGAGAAACAGAAGCAGTGGGATATATACAGATAAATAAGAGGAGATTTATTATGAGAATTGGCTCAATTATGAGTGCCAAGATTTCCCATGACATGTTCTCTGCAAGGTGGAAAACCAGGAAATCTAGTGGTATAATTCAGTCCAATTCTGAAGGCCTGAGAACCAGATAGGAGCCGATGATATAACTCCCAGTCCAAGGCATAAGGTCTGAGAACCAGGAGGTATAAGACCCGGAATCTAAAGATCTGGGAATCAGGAGTTTTGATGTCCAAAGTCAATAAACAATGCATGCTTAGCTTAAGAAGAGAGAGAGAATTTGCTCTTCTTCTGCCTTTACGTTCAATTCAGATTCTCAATGGATGGGATGATGCCTTCCCATACTGATGAAAGCAGACCTTCTTTAAACAGTCTATTGATATCATTTTTTTTTTTTTTTTTGAGATGGAGTTTCACTCTTGTTGCCCGGGCTGGAGTGCAACAGCATGATCTTGGCTCACTGCAACCTCTGCCTCCTGGGTTCAAGTGATTCTCCTGCCTCAGCCTCACGAGTAGCTGAGATTACAGGCATGTGCCACCACGCTCAGCTAATTTTGTATTTTTAGTAGAGGCAGGCTTTCTCCATGTTGGTCAGGCTGGTCTCAAACTCCCAACCTCAGGTGACCTGGCTGCCTCGGCCTCCCAAAGTGCTGGAATTACAGGTGTGAACCACCGCACCCAGGCTTAAATGTCAACCTCTGCTAGAAACAACCTCACAGGTAAATCTAGAAATGTTTTACTTTCTATCTAGACGTCCTTTAGCTCACTCAAGTTGGCAAAAAAAATTAACAATAACAGGCTATGTTGGAAATCTCAGTACCTTCTACTCAATTTTTCTGTGAACCTAAAATTGTTCTAAGCAATGAAATCTGTAATATAAAATTATAATATATAATTATAATTGATGCAAAAGTAAATACTTTTGCATTATTGAAATTTGCCATTTGATACTGAAATACATTCCTGGCCGGGTGCGGTGGCTCACGCCTGTAATCCCAGCACTTTGGGAGGCCGAGGCGGGCAGATCACAAGGTCAGGAGATCGAGACCATCCTGGCAAACACGGTGAAAACCCGTCTCTACTAAAAATACAAAAAAATTAGCTGGGCGTGGTGGCGGGCACCTGTAGTTCCAGCTACTCAGGAGGCTGAGGCAAGAGAATGGCATGAACCTGGGAGGCGGAGCTTGCAGTGAGCAGAGATCACGCCACTGCACTCCAGCCTGGGCAAGAGAGCAAGACTCCGTCTCAAACAAACAATCAAACAAAAAGAAATACATTCTTAAATAAACGTGGTCATGTTATACATGAATGCGCATTTCTCGCTTTATTTTTTTTGCTAATGACTTAGTACTTGCTGTTTATTTTACATTTATTTTAGACTACGGAAATGATGTTAGACAGAAAGCAAATTTGAGCAGTTTTCTTTTTTGAGTTCAAAATGGGTCATAAAACAGCAGGGACAACTCACAACATCAACAATGCATTTGGCCCAGGAACTGCCAACAAATGTACAGTGTAACGGTGGTTCAAGAAGTTTTGCAAAGGAGACAATAGCCTTGAAGATGAGGAGTGTAGTGGCCGGCCATTGGAAGTTAATGACCAATTGAGAGCAATCTTTGAAGCTCATCCTCTTACAACTGCATGAGAAGTTGCCAAAGAACTCAACATCAACCATTCTACGGTTACTTGGTATTTGAAGCAAACTGGAAAGGTGAAAAAGCTCGATAAATAGGTGCCTCATAAGCAGGATGAACATTTAAAAAAAAATCATTGCTTTGAAGTGGCATCTTCTCTTATTCCATGCAATGACAATGAACCATTTCTCAATCGGATTGTGACGTGGGAGGAAAAGTGTATTTTATACAACAACTAGTGACAACCAGCTCAGTAGTTAGAACAAGAAGAAGCCTAAAAGTACTTTCCCAAAGCCAAACTTGCACCAAAAAAGCATCATGGTCACTGGTGGTCTGCTGCCGGTCTGATCCACTACAGCTTTCTGAATCTTAGCAAAACCATTACATCTGAGAAGTATGCTCAGCAAATCGATGAGATACACAGAAAACTGCAATGTCTGCAGCTGGCCTTGGTCAACAGAAAGGGCCTGATTCTTCTCCACAACAATGCCTGACTGCACGTTGCACAACCAACACTTCAAAAGTTGAACAAATTGGGCTATGAAGTTTTGCCTCATCCACCATATTCACCTGACCTCTCGCCAACCAACGACCACTTCTTCAAGCATCTTGAAAACTTTTGGCAGGAAAAATGCTTCTGCAACCAGCAGGATGCAGAAAATGCTTTTCGAGAGTTTGCTGAATCCTAAAACATGGATTTTTATGCTATAAGAAAAAAACAAGCATTTCTCCTTGGCAAAAATGTGTTGATTGTAATGCTTCCTATTTTGATTACAAAAGATTTGTTTGAGCCTAGTTGTAATGATTTAAAATTCACAGTCTAAAACCACAGTTACTTTTGTACCAACCCAATAAAATTGCTAGTTGATTACTAAAAGTAATAGTGAGTGGTGGCTGGGTGTGGTGGCTCATGCCTGTAATCCCAGCATTTTTCCATTTTGGGAGGCTGAGGCAGGAGGATCACGAGGTCAGGAGTTCAAGACAAGCCTGATCAACATGGTGAAGCCCTGTCTGTACTAAAAATACAAAAATTAGACGGGCGTGGTGGTGCACGCCTGTAACCTCAGCTACTCAGGAGGCTGAGCTAGAAAAATTGCTTGAACCCGGGAGGCAGAGTTTGCAGTGAGCTGAGATTGTGCCACCGCACTCTGGTCTCACAACAGACCCAAACTTTGTCTCAAGAAAAAAAAAAAAAAAAAAGTGAGTGGCACCACCCCCACGAGCATGGGCTCATTCCACACTTTGTTTGCCATGAAATGCTCAATTTTATATGATGGAAACAATCCAATATAATCAATCTGCCACTATGTGACTGACTAATCACTCCAAAGAATCACGTCGTATGAGAAACCACATGTTGCGCTGTGTTGCCAGCAGATTGGACACACAGCATTAGCTATACCTAGATGAGCATTGGTGAATGACAGTCCACATTGCTGAGCCGATGTACGCCCTTCATCTCTGCCATTTGGACAAATTGGGCACTTTGTTCGTGGATTCATTGAGCAATGACAGATGGGGATGACTGGGAAAAAATGCTAACTGCTATCGACAGAATGGGTCATCCTAACTACTTGTTAATTAAATTCTTCCTCTGCTCAGATTATTCTTTGGTGAGCATTCAGGTGAAATACAAATATTTCCATGTTTCTCCTATTCAAAAAGGCTTAGCCATATACCTCTTCCCCAGACTTCCCTTTCAGTACTTATCTAATCATTTTCCTTCCAAATTCTTGACCATCCAGCCAAACAATTGGTTGCAGCCTAGGAATTAATATAGACTTGTACCTCTGGCCATTTCTCCCTCCAAGCAAGATAAACCAAAGTTTTGCACACTGGGAGAATTTCCCTTCACCATTGTTTTTCAGGAAAGTCCCAAAAAGGAGCTATGGTTCTTCAGCTGCTTACTCCCAGGTGGTGCCTGTATATCATGCAGAGTGATCTGTAAACCAGGCCAAAGCTTTCTCTTCTTCAGTTAACTGATTATAGAGAGTTCCCAAGGAAATGAGAGGTGTGGGATGGATGAAAGAAGGTAATGCAGCAGGAGTAGGAGCCCTGGGCCCGCTTCTCATGTAACTTACCTGAGCCTTTAGGGCCTACTAGGGGCCAATCTCATGAATACTGCTTCCATTTGAAGATAGAGTGCTGCTTCCAGACACCCAACTTTATAGCTTGATGAGTCAGACAACCACTAGTTCACAATGGGTAGTACAGGTTACATGGTAACTTGGTGGCCAATGATTGCGTTCAGTCTCTACTAAGGTTCAGTAGCAAATAAAAATCTTCTACTAAAAAAGAGATGAGTTATTCACTGAATATGATGCAGATTTGCTCCAAAATCGTAAGGATCTGCACTATTATGCACTATAGTAACGTGCTAAGGAGTCCAAATAGCACCTCTCTCTGCCAGTGACACTTCACACCCCTTTGGATCTGCTGGATCATATGGCCTAAGTGGCAGAGCAGCTTGCACAGTAGCCTAGACCTGTTGCAGAACCTTCTTCTATTGTGTGCTCCACTTAAAACTAACAGTTTTTTGGATCACTTGGTAAATGGGCCAGAGTAACCTAGCCAAATGAGGAAAATATTGCTTTCAAAATTCAAAGAGACCCACTAGATACTATACCTCTTTTATGCTTGTAGAAGGGTGTAGATACAACAATTTATCATTTGCCTTATTCCACCCTGCCTAACACAGTAGTCTTCTAGAAACTTCACTGAAAAAAAAGCCCCTGAATTTTTGCCAATTTTATTTTTCAACATCTCACATGCAAATATTTTATCAGTAAGTCTAGAGTAATAGCTATTTCTTGCTCACTAAGTGAAATAAGCTAGTGTCATATATATAATAGTCCAGCATTTTGTCTTGTGGAAAGAAAAAAAGATCAAATTCCCTGAATACCATATAATGACATAGGGCTGGAGCATTGATATACCCTTGAGGGAGGACAGTGAAGATGTATTGCTGGCCTTGCCAACTGAAAGCACACTTCTTCTGGTGGCCTTTATTAACAAATATTAAGAAAAAAAGCATTTTCCATGTTAATAGCTATATACCAGATACCAGGGGATGTGTTAATTTGCTCAAGCAATAAAACCACATCTGGGACAGTAGATGCAATTGGCATCAATGCTTAGTTAAGCTTATTATTTCTCACTGTCATTCTCCAAGTTCCATCTGCTTTCTGGATAGGCCAAATAGATGAGTTGAATGGGGATAAGTACAAATCATCATCTTATCTTTCAAGTCCTTGATGGTGGCATTAATGTCTGTAATCCCTCCAGGTATTCAGTATTGCTTTTGATTTAGAAACAAAGAATAGATAACTTAGATAAAAATCCACATATTTATGGCCAACTCCTGTTTGACAAAGATTTCAAGGATATAAAATGGGGAAAGAACAGTTTATTCAATTAATGGTGCTAGAAAACCTGGATAACTATGCAGAAGAATGAAACTAGACCCCTATCTCTGATCATACACAAAAATCAAATCAATATGGATTAAAGACTTAAATCTAAGACCTCAAACTATGAAACTACTAGAAGAAAACTTTGGGGAAATGGTTTTTTGTCTTTTCCCAGGAAGTTGGTCTAGGCAAAGATTTTTTTGTGTATGACTTCAAAATCATAGGCAACCAAAAGCAAAAATAGACAAACAGAAACAAATCAAGCTAAAGCTTTCCTGGACAACAAAGGAAACAATTAACAAAGTGAAGAGACAACCCACGGAATGGGACAAAATATTTGCAAACTATGCATCTGACAAGAAATTAATAACCAACATCTACAAGGAACTCAACTCAATAGCAAAAACAAATAATTGTATTTTTAAAATGAAGAAAAGGTCTAAGGCATTTCTCAAAAAAAGAGATACAAATGGCCAACAGGTATGTGAAAAGAAATATTCAACATCACTAATCATCAGACAAATGCAAATCAAAACCACAATGAAATATCATCTCACCTTAGTTAATATGGCTTTTATAAAAATAATAGGCAATAACAGATGCTGATGAGAATGAGGAGAAATGAGAATCCTTGCACAATGTTGGTGGGTATGTAAATTAGTACAACCACTATGGAGAACAGTATAGTTTTCCCTCAAAAAAAAAAAAAATTGAACTATCATATGATCCAGCAATTCCACTACTGGCTATATATCCAAAAGAAAGAAAATCAATATATTGAAGAGATGTCTACACTCTCATGCTTACTGCAACACTAATCACAATAGCCAAATTGTAGAATCAGCCTAACTGCCTATCAAAGGAGGAATGGATAAAGAAAACATGGTATATACTTATATACAAAATAAATTTATAAAAAATATAAATATATACAATACATATGTACAATTAAATACTATTCTTCCACAAAAAATAATAAAATCCTGTTATTTGCAGAAACATGGATGGAACTGGATGCTAAGTAAAATAAACCCAAGCACAAAGAGACAAACATTGCATATTCCTATTCACATATGGAAGCTAAAAAAGTAGCTCTCTTACATAGAGAGTAGGTTGGTGGTTATCAGAGGCTAGGAAGTGGAGGCAATAGGAGGATAAAAAAAAGTTGATCAATGGGTAGAAATACATGATTTGATAGAAAAAATAACATCTTGTGTTAGATCAG
This sequence comes from Homo sapiens, assembly GCF_000001405.40. Lineage (NCBI taxonomy): Eukaryota > Metazoa > Chordata > Mammalia > Primates > Hominidae > Homo > Homo sapiens. The sequence continues at coordinate 115,951,931 of NC_000002.12, read as the reverse complement.
TAGGGTGGCTATAGTTTACAGTAATCTATTGTACTTTTCAAAATAGCTAGAAAAGAAGAATTTGAATGGTTATAGCATAAGGAATATAAAAGTATTTCAGGTGATAGATATCCCAAGTTCACTGATCTGATCTTTACAAATTATATGCATGTGTCAAATCATCACATGTACACCAAAACTATGTACATGTATCATGCATCACTAATAAAAATTAGAAAGTGGAATTTAAAAATAGTTACACGTCTGCTGAAACATCTTACTTTAGCCTACAACATATAAATACGTATTTATTTGACAATTTTTATGTAGACTTTAAATATTTCTCCATTGATTGGAATAAACCTTTTTGCATAATCATATCAATAATGCATCACCTAAACCATCCAGTCATAAAATCTGTAAAGTGAAACAAGCACTTAACAGTACTTGTTAATTATCCCTTGCCCATCATTCTGTGAAATTAATTTTTTCTAATTTTCATAACATTTTTGCAATCCTACTTAAAAAGGCAATAATTATGGTGGCTCATCTCAAATTCTTGCAAAACACTTAAAACGCTTTTTATAGAAATAACTGTTTTCATGATTCTGTTTAATCAGTCCTATTTAATATCCTATTTAATATTATGTTATTAAATTGCAAGTTCAAACAGGCATAAAGAGTGAACATATCAAATACTGGAAAGAGAAACACAAAGGCACTTACCAATGTTTTTCATGTCTTATCAAGACATGAAAAAGATCTAACATAGTGAACTGGCTAAAGGAGGTCAGTTAGAGAAAATTCTACCATACACACTTCACTTATCAGTAAGTGTCAGGAAGTAAAAGATGTTAGGAAGTTAGGAAGTGTTAGGAAGTGTTAGGAAGTCAAAGATGACTAATAAAAGTCAATGCAGAAATAGGCTGTGGTAGCCTCAAATTCATCCTCAGTTTCAATTTTTACTTTTCCCTTAGCTAGCTGTATGCTTTGCACAAAGTATAATACTTAAAGCTTTGAACCTTTTTTCTCACCTATAAAATCATACATAATTATATATAACTTAGATTGTTATGGAGATTAAGTATGTTGATTACAAATAAAGTATGTAGAACAAGGTTTGGCATATCACCAGAGATCAAGAAACGTTTTTCTTTTTTTAAAATAAAAAATAGCCTTTGTCTTGAGGAGGGTTCTAGAATATATATTCAAAGGAAAAAAACAAAGTAGTACTGGGAGGATTTATTATATTTTAACTGTTTATTACAAGATTATGTCATTGAGTAGGACATAGTGAGATAGTCTTTTAAAGCATTGGCCAAGAAGAGGAAGGGAATTTGCCTCACTTACAATTTTCAGTACTAAGTCATAGAGACTAAGCATGTGATTGTCATGTGCTGCTCTTGAACATTAGGAACTGTACTTGATACATGGTTGTAAATATCTCTACTGGTACAGAGCAAGTACAGAAAACAAACCACCAATTGATGTTGGATGGAAATACTGTTCTATGTGGTAGTCAGATGTTCCAGTTGGATCTATCCTACAAAATATACACAATGTGTCTTCATATATGAGCAGGGCTAGCCTTGCCATGTCCTGGGCCATCCATGGCAATGGTCATCCTATAGTTACAGTTAATTAAGATGGACAACTGACCCATTCAGGCTAATTTCTTTCTTGCAAGCATGTGGAACTGGGATTGAGAAGTTAGCTGGGCACGGTGGCGTGCACCTGTAGTCCAGCTACTTAGGAGGCTAACGTCAAAGAATTACTTGATCCCAGGGGACAGAAGTTGCAGTGAACTGAGATCATGCCACTGCGCTCCAGCCTGGGCAACAGAGTGAGACCTTGTCTCAAAAAAAAAGAAAAAAGAAAAATTTTATGTAGTTAGTTTCATTTCACAATTCAAACTGGGAAGATATGCAAACTGATGAGATATAAAGCAATCCCATTCTGCCACTTTATGGAGAAGGAGGAAATGGCAGTGGCTAAGAAAGAATTAATGAAATGTCTATACATAGAGTGAAATACCTATTACTATATTCTTTTTTTATTATACTTTAAGTTCTGGGATACATGTGCAGAATGTGCAGGTTTGTTACATAGGTATACATGTGCCATGGTGTTTTTGCTGCACCAATCAACCTGTCATCTACATTAGGTATTTCTCCTAATGCTATCCCCCCTCCTTGTCCCCTACCCCCAACAGGCCCTGGTGTGTGATATTCCTCTCCCTGTGTCCATGAGTTCTCATTGTTCAACTCTCACTTGTAAGTGAGAACATGCCGTGTTTGGTTTTCTGTTCCTGTGTTAGTTTGCGGAGAATGATGGTTTCCAGCTTTACCCATGTCCCTCCAAAGGACATGAACTCATTATTTTTATGGCTGCAGAGTATTCCATGGTGTATGTGTGCCACGTTTTCTTTATCCAGTCTATCATTGATGGGCATTTGGGTTGGTTCCAAGTCTTTGCTATTGTAAACAGTGCTGCAATAAACATATGTATGCATGTGTCTTTATAGTAGAATGATTTATAATCCTTTGGTTATATAGTCAGTAATGGGATTGCTGAGTCAAATGGTATTTCTGGTTCTAGATCCTTGAGGAATCACTCAATAAACTAGGTATTGATGGAACATATCTCAAATAATAAGAGCCATTTATGACAAACCCACAGCCAATGTCTTACTGAATGGGCAAAAGCTGGAAGCATTCTCTTTGAAAACTGGCACAATACAAGCATGCCCTCTCTCATCACTCTTATTCAACACAGTATTGGAAGTTCTGGCCAGGGCAATCAGGCAAGAGAAAGAAATAAAGGGCATTCAAATAGGAAGAAAGGTAGTCAAATTGTCTGTTTGCAGATGACATGACTGTATATTTAGAAAACCCCATCGTCTCAGCCCAAAATCTTCTTAAGCTGATAAGCAACTTCAGGAAAGTCTCAGGATACAAAATCAATGTACAAAAATCACAAGCATTCCTATATGCCAATAATAGACAAAAAGAGAGTCAAATAGTGAGTGGACCTCCATGCACGATTGCTACAAAGAGAATAAAATACCAAGAATACAACTTACAAGGGATGTGAAGGACCTCTTCAAAGACAACTATAAACCACTGCTCAAAGGAAATAAGAGAGGACACAAACAAATGGAAAACCATTCCACGCTCATGGATAGGAAGAATCAGTATCGTGAAAATGGCCATGCTGCCCAAAGTAATTCAAAGATTCAATGCTATTCCCATCAAGCTACCACTGACTTTCTTCACAGAATTGGAAAAAACTACTTTAAATTTCATGGAACCAAAAAAGACTTTTCTGTTCCTGTGTTAGTTCACTTAGAATGATAGTTTCCAGCTTTATCCATGTCCCTGCAAAGGATATGAACTCATTATTTTTATGGCTGCAGAGTATTCCATGGTGTATATGTGCCACATTTTCTTTAACCAGTCTATTACTGGTGGGCATTTGGGTTGGTTCCAAGTCTTTGCTATTGTAAACAGTGCTGCAATAAACATATGTATGCATGTGTCTTTATAGTAGAATGAATATGGGAATAGCATTGAATCTATAGCCAAGACACTCCTAAGCAAAAACAACAAAGCTGAAGGCATCATGCTGACTTCAAACTATACTACAAGGCTACACTAACCAAAACAGCATGGTACTGGTACCAAAACAGATATATAGATCAGTGGAAAAGAATGGAGGCTTCAGAAATAACACCACACATCTACAACCATCTGATCTTTGGCAAACCTGACAAAAACAAGCAATGAGGAAAGGATTCCCTATTTAATAAATGGTGTTAGGAAAACTGGCTAGCCATATGCAGAAAACTGAAACTGGACCCCTTCCTTACACCTTATACAAAAATTAACTCAAGATGGATTAAAGACTTAAATGTAAGACCTAAAACCATACAAACCCTAGAAGAAAATGTAGGCAATGCCATTCAGGACATCGGCATGGGCAAAGACTTCATGACTAAAACACCAAAAGCAATGAAAACAAAAGCCAAAATTGACAAATGGGGTCTAATTAAATTAAAGAGCTTCTGCGCAACAAAAGGAACTATCATCAGAGTGAACAGGAAACCTACAGAATGGGAGAAAATTTTTACAATCTATCCATCTGACAAAGGGCTAATATCCAGAATCTACAAGGAACTTAAACAAATTTACAAGAAAAAACAAACAACCCCATCAAAAAGTAGGCAAAGGATATGAACAGACACTTCTCATAGGAAGATATTTATGCAGCCTACTATATTCTTAAATGAGGGAGATAGACTGCTTTGTTTCCTGTTTGTTTTCCAGGTCCCAAGTGTTTTGAGAGGCTGACTGTACTTACTACCCTTTCTTTATTACTTATAATCAATTCCCTCTTTTTTCTAAAGCTAGTTTGAGTGAGTGTATGTTTTTATCAATGAAAAGAGCTTTGACCAAGAACAGTTCATTATTTTACATGGAGGAGTGGTTAATATAATGACTCCCAGTGGTCAGGCCTCCTCAATCAAATGAAATGGAGGAGAAGCAATTATGTGAGACTCAAACAACAACAACAAAACATTAAATTATTTTGACAAGAAGTAAAAAGAAGAGAGAAAAACTACTTTTTCTAAGTTTAAGTAACCAGGCTATTGCCTACATAACAGATTTGATTTTCCCAGAGGGTTCCAGTACATAAAAACATCTGGAATCAGAAGTAGTTAGATGTATTGGAAAACAGATTCTATATTTAGAAAAGATGTCATTTGTGGTTAAGCTAAAATGCCACTGACAGTAAGATTCTGCAGTGTGGAAGAATTCATAGAGGCCAATGCTCTGAGTATCTCACCAAAGACTAGTTGGTGGTAATAGACAAGTGCCTCTTATCTCAGAGCCCTCCTTGTTCCCCAGAGCCAGAGACAAATTCATGTTATAGCAGGACTTTAGACACGTCTTACTGAATGCAAAATTTTCCAGATTTTTAAGATCCTTTCCAGATCTCACGTCAAATTTCTCATGTGACTTAAGGATCTTTCAAGCTTATAGACTGGTTCTACTCACACTTGCAGTTTATATTTCTCAAGGACTGATTGATTCATTTCACAATCATTTATAGACCAATCTTTATATGACCAGTTCACAGCCAGGTCTTCAAGAGGAAGGTATAGAAGACAGTCTTTTCTCTCAAGGAATTTGAGTCAAGTAGACAGAAAAGTAGAGAAACAAATGCAATAAAAATGACAAAACATATGTGAGTTTGAGCACTTTGAAACAGAGAAAAAGGGCACCTACTTCATTTTGTGCAGGGGCTGGGGGAATGAAAGATTTGTGGGAGAGAGAAATCATGAATGAGTCTTTATGTTTGGGAAAACAGTAGTTTCCAATCAGAGGACATAGCATGTGGGCAAAGTCATGAAAAGATGACAGAACAAAGCACGGGGTATCTGGAAGTGAAGAAGGAGTGATAAAAATAGGCTGGAGCCTAAGGCAGAGATGAGGTCTGGCAGGGGTTTATAGACTATGCTTAATAATTGACATTTTTGTCTTAGAGACATTGAAGACAGGATGAAGTATATATACAGAGAAATGACATGTTCAGGTTTCATATATGTCATGTATTTTTATATTAAATAATGCGGTAAAATAATAGTTGCCATTTATTGAGCCTCTATAATTAGATCTCAAAAGAATAACTAATATCCAGAAAACATTGGGTAAGTCACTACTGAGTGGTTTACTAAATTTTGCCGAATTGACTGGAAAATACTTCTTGGAATGAGAATTGAAATTTGTATCTGAGTTCCTGTCCTTTGTATTATAACATTTGCTTTCTGATTCAGAATCTAGGTTTAGTAGTTCAACTCCAGTGTCTCTTTAATGTGTTATTCTCGAATGTTGTGCTGACACAAGTTTTGGGGCTCATTTAGGACTCAAGTCTATTGCCTATAATCACAAAACAATTTTTTAAGGGGGAGAAACCTCTGGTGGTATCATACGTCACTACGTATCTACATTACACCCCAAAAAAGTCTTCATGTGCCTCTATTATATAACTTTTTGTTTCCCATTAAACTATATTTTATTTGAAGGCAAGAAATATGACTTATTCTTTTCCATAATAAAGATTAAAAAATTATTCACACTTGACCAGTCTGTGTTCTAGGCAGTTCGCATTAAAAAATAATGATCAATTCACCGTATGAAGTAAGTAAGGTTTCTGTTTTAAAGATAAGGAAAGTAAGATACCAAATACTTCAGAATAGTCTAAGGCCACTTATCAAGTAAGTGCTGGATTCAAGGTTTGATTGCAAGCTCAATGAATCTCTCATTTGTAATCATGTTTATTTCACCATGCTTGGCAGATGGTAGCACTTAGTAATTATTTGTTGATAAATGAATGAGTGAAAAATTTAGTTAATCCATCACACTTTGAAAATAAACAGTTTTTAAGTAGTAGTTATTCTCCCAAAGTTGTTTATGTGACTTCTGTAATATCTAAACACACAAGTGACTTAAACTAAACTTGAGTAAAAATGAGCTTAATGTATGTAAACAAAATTGTCCATGCAGTCTGAGCATATATTTTTGCCAAATGCTATCATTTGAATGTGTCTCCCAAAAGTTCATGTTTTAGAAACTTAATTTCCAGAGTTATACATTGATAGTATTTGGAGGTGGGGCATTTGGAAGACAATTATTGCTAGATGAAATCATGAGGTTGGGGAGCTTACAATGGGATTATTGTCTTTGTAAAGAAAGAAGAGGCCTGAGCTGGCAAGCTCTGCCATGTGATAACACTTGCCATGTCACGTTGTAGCAAAGACACCTTTAGCAGATGCTGGCACTATGCTCTTGGACTTTCCAGCCTCCAGAATGGTGAGCTATATAAACTATTTTTTATAAATTACTCAGTCTGTGGTATTTGCCTACTGTAACAGAAAATAATTTAAGACACCGAATAACTGGATCAAATGAGTATTTCCTTTCATTACCAATATTAGTTTTCTCTACAAGCATCCTAGTAATAAAGTATTCTAATCATCAGTCCTGAAACCACCAGTCTGGTCATATGCCATCATTGAGGTTCCATTGTGCTACATTAGATTGTCCTTGCAGGCATGTGCCAGGATTATGTAAAACTCTACTGCAAACTTAGGTGTGCTATCTCAAAAGCTTTTCCATCCCTCACTACTTACTCTGAACCACTTTCTCTTAATGTTCCTTGTTTTGTTTTCTGTTGTTTATAACCTCTTTTTATGCATTGTCTCCTCTCCTTTTTTATCTGGACCTCTGATTTGGATCCAGCATCTACATTTTATGCCAGCATAGCCTCTGTATCACACCATTAATGCTTACCCTCCAGTTGCTGCCGTGAACCAGTCTAACCTTAGGTCTCAGAGGATCAGTGAGTGGGGACTAGTTATCATCTTGCCTCCATTTTCAAAGCAGAGAGACCATGTTTCTAAAACTTGTTTTTTAATTGTTGTATTAGTTTGTTCTCACACTGCTGTAAAGAACTGCCTGAGACCAGGTAACTTAGAAAGGAAAGAGGTTTAATTGACTCACAGTTCCACATGGCTGGGGACAACTCAGGAAACTTACAATCTTGGCAGAAGGTGAAGCAAGACACCTTCTTCACAAGGCAGCAGGAAGAAGAATGAATGCAAGAGAGTTACCAGACACTTATAAAGCCATCAGAACTCATGAGAACTCACTCTCTATCATGAGAACAGCATGGGGAAACTGCCCCCATGATTCAACTACTCCACATGGTCTCTCCCTTGACACCTGGGGATTATGGGGATTACAATCAAGATGAGATTTTGGGTGGGGACACAGCTAAACTATATCAATTATATATTCCTGATTAGCTCACTTGCTCTATCAATATACTACGAGAATTGGTTTTCAGAAGGTTTAGTGTACATAATCCAGGTATCAGAAATTGATTTGCACTCTGATTCAGATAATGATGTGCTTCATTGTCTCTCTTTATAAAATAAGGTTAGAAATTCCTGTTCTACCTATCCACAGGTGCTTTTTTATTAGTGATATAGCATATGTAAGGTCACATTGAAAGCATCTTTTAGGAGTAAGGCTAAAAAATAGAATGTTCAATTAGACTATCAAAGGAGAAGAGTTTAAGCAGGCTATATTTTTTCATATACAAAAGATGCGTTTTTTGTTAATAATGTGATGAATGCTGGAGTCTTTATAAATCAAATATAAAATTAAATAATAAAAAATAAATATAAATTTAAAAGAGTAGAGACTCTCATATTAAATTTTAACTACTGAAGATATTTTTTCTTATAGTGCTTTGGAAACCAAATATATTTGTGCCACCACCTCACACTACTGACTGGAATTAGACTCAACCTAATAGGAACACTGAGAACTGAAAGCAATTATCAATGTTTCTTTTTAAATTGATAGAAATAGTGAATGTTACTTTATACTTGTGTGTGTATACTTGCAATTTCCTCTCTAGTGTATTATAATTTACCTTTTCTGTTTTATGGAATATAGAGCATTATTTAAAATGTGGTTATTCTCAAGACTAAGAATTGTAATAGCTGGACTTCAAGTTTTACAGCTTAGAGCTTAGTGGCTTAACGCTTGGTAAATAAGCACCTCTCTGAGCCCTTTAAATAGTATTTAAGCTGAGTTAAGTTTATGAGTTAGCTATAAAATTATAATTTGGCTCTGAAGAGGAAACCTCATTTAGTGGCACTCAACAAACTAATATAGTGACCCTAAATCCCAACCTGACTGTTTAGTTATTACAACACACCACTATGAAGACTATTAACAGGCCTAATTAAGGCATCAATCACCTCTCAGAACCTCAATAACCTTACAATAACTCTTTTTATGGCATTTTTAGCAATTTGCTCTAATGCACGAGGGCCATATATAAATGAATTGGATATTAGGGGCTCTGATTACACGAGGCCATTTGGCAAGCATTCCCAGCCCCCTACACTTTCACAAGCTCGCTGGGAAACAGACCAGAATACCTTCTAAGACGGACAGAGTAGAGCCTGAGCTAGTCTTCATTTAACACAGCCCAATATGCTGCCAGGTTTTTAGGCTTGTGTAGGCAATCAAACAGAATACTATAGGCCATCGGACATTTCCACATTTTAAAGACTCCTTTTTTTTGTTCACGCTGCACTATCCAGAATAGCTGTCTACGTGGAGCAAATCACCTATTGCAACAGCCACTTTGTATGCAGCTGTGTGGGCAAACTTTCTAAAAAGCACATTAACACTTTTGACCTATTGTGTTAACGGACCTGACTTTCTCAACTGAGTATCTCTCTGGTAAATCAAACACGCTTTACTAAGACAGGCTTAAGGGTAAGATATTATTTGGTGAAACTTCAGTGAGAGCATACGCTTCAGTTTATCCTGTTGTAGGTTTTGGTATGTTCTAAGTGATTTTTCAAGAGGGAAATTCACAAGAGGGAAATTAACAGATATTTTCATATCCCTTTGGCTTGCTGCTTCATAGGTCAGCAGGGTGTCAGTGAGGGAGAAGAAAACAGGTTGGAAGTTAATGGCTGTACTGGAAGAAAACCAGCTTCAACATCTCAAAGAGAATATAATTTTTATGACTACGCAGGGGATGGAGTTAGCAGATCCAGAGGATGGTACTGGTGAAGATATGATTAATAAAGTGAGGACTTAAAGCCTAACCTGGTACTACCAACTGATTGCTGGGGTCATGGCACACATTGCACACTACAAAATAAGAAACACATCATAAGATGTGACATGAGGAATTAAAAATCTTCCTAAACTTGTAGTCTTCCAAAAGTTAGTTACTTGGTTTGCATTTCTCATGTTAGTCATTCACTTGAATTAGTGTATTGGAGTTCAAAATCTAAAGGTGTTAGCCTTTGAGGGATAATTTTTAATTCACATTTAGATATTTCCGTATTTGAGTGAATTAGCTAAATACTTCTCAAATAAACAAGTTCATGAAGACATAAGGCAGGGATAGGGCAGTTTTGAAAGAGGAACTAGGTTGGACTTATGGGAAGAGATGTCTAAGATGTTTAATATCCAATTCATTTCTATTGGAAGAGATGTCTAGATGTCTTGATCATAGGCAAACATGGGAGAGGACAAACTTAATGTAGAGAACTAAGGAATTAAGAGACAGACTTTCTAGAGAGGCCTCCAAATATGCAGGATATCAGTGAGAAAAAAATGCTAATGATTTTTGTTGTTTAGTTAAGATAACTTAGGTGCTGTAGCCAACAAATCCTGAAAGAATATTTAAAGGCTCAAACGTGACAATTCATTTATTGTATACATTAAGTCCAAAATGTTTGCTCTTCATTGACAGGCAGCTTTCCTTTAATTAATAATTTAGGGACGTTTACCTCGAGCTTCACCAACTTTGGAAGCACGATTTCAAAGGTTACCAAACTCAATTGCAACAAGTGGGTGCAAAGGGAAAGGTGTTGGAGACATATAAATGCAAAGGAGTCTAAGAAATGGGCTTAGTGAGAGCTCAGTGATCTCTGCAATGCTGGCATTTTCCTGAGCCCTGGTCTTGATTCTGTGTCTTACAGTCTCTGGCATTCTAAAGTAGGTGATAATGAGGCAGAAAAGGATGTACAGGCTTAAAACAGACAGGCTACATAAAGTAGGTGACAAAAGGAGTGAAGATGTTTTCTTGTTGCTCAGCTTTCATCAAAATCAAAACAAAAATTGCATTTCTGCTTGTTGGTCTAGAAAGAATTGATATTCGAGAAATGAGGGCTGTCAGAACCAGATTGGAGTCTCCTGCTTTGTTGATTTGCACAGAGTTATTATATATGGAACTGAGACCACATAGCTCCATTAAATGTGTATAGAAAAAGAGTCTTGACACCCCTGATCTTCTCCTGTCCCTGGCTATGCTAAATTTATCAGTGATTAAATTTATTTGATGGTTTTCTTAGTTAAAACACAAAAATTATTAAATCTACTTCTATCTGAATCCAAAATATTATGGGGATTATGTGGAATTATTTCATTTACTTCACAGCTGGGGGACTTAGACGGGCTATAGGCTCAGTCATGTATTCTAACTGCATTGGTCTTTAAAGACTAAATAATCTGGAAAATGTGATTCTTAAAGTACAGAGGGAGATAACCAAACTGGCTTTCCACTAAGTTTTTAAAAAATATTCTGAGTTGGCTGAAATCCCCAGTTTACACATTTGCTTCTAGTGAAAGCACTTTCGAAAATTATCAAGCCTGATGTTGGGTACTAACACCTGGAAAATAGATATGTGATATGCACCCGGTATCTTCATTTAAGGACCCTAAACCCTTATGTTCACAAGTTCCAGGTATTTCTGGGACTAAGAACTACACCAGAACATCAAGACATTATAAAATTTAATTCCCTATGAAATGAAACAATAGGAAAAATAACATCTTTTCTATGGTTAATTCCGTTTGTTAATAAAAAATTGTTTTTTGTTGATATTTTTTACATGGAGCATTCAATCTCTACAGCCAAATATTGTTACTGTTGAGTTATGTCAAATCGGTGCCTGATGTTGCATCCCTAAATGCTTTTGGAGAACATTATGGTGAAGTTGATCATTAGAGCTTAAGGATCATCATTCATTTTAAACCAAAGCTATAAAAAGCATGAAATGTCCACAGTGATGATCAGCTCCTTGAAAAGATGTGAGGATACTGGTGCATATTTCTTTAAATTACTCAGTCAATTTTAAAAGAGAAATATTGTTGCTATTTTCATCACTTTTCTTCATAAGGGATGCTTCTATACTCATAGCATAAGGTGACTCATCAAAACTTTGTCACAGTGAGTGGTCAGAAGGCATACGCCAGAACTCCAGCATTATCCAACAGCTGTCACTTCCATTTAAGGGACCAACGCATTCTCTCATGGACACTTCCTGGGGCAGCCTTTTGCAAATTGCTCATCTAACAATCGAGAAAATGAGGAAGGTGTTTACTTCAAAATAATCTTAGAAATTGACAACATGAAATGGTAAGTTTGCCTTTTAGCATTGCTTAAGAATGTGATTTTCTCTTATTTAGTAAATTAGTTCAGATTTTTGAGGATTTTGTGATACCATTTCTTTCTTCAGGTTATAAAGAGTATTTGCTATTTATATTCAGCACTTTCTTGGCCCGTAATGTGGTGCAACATACTGATTTATAAATCAATAGATTATACTATTGTTAAGTTAAAAAAAAGCATTTCTACCTTCATGCCATATTTTTAGCCTTGCACTATAGAGAAGTAGACTTACTGGATTTTTCCCTCCCATGTAGAAGAGTGTATTGGTTAGGAAATATATTCCCCTACGAATAAAAAAGACATCACCACCACACACAAAACAAATGTTGCTTAAAAAAGTATGGAATTTATGTTTTCCTCTAGTAATGGATAAGTCACAAAATAGTACAGATACCGTGGTTTCATGTTGTTATGGCCTAGGTTCCTCTCATATTCATTCTCATGAAATGATTGCTGTGGCTCCAGCCAACACATTTAGGTTCTGGGATAGTAGAAATAAGAAGGCTAAGTATAAAAGCTGGTACGTTCTTAAGGCATGACATTGTTTTAGAAAAACTTCCTGCAAGCCCTGCTTGTAAGTCTCTTGTAAGACTGCATAGCTCAGAAGCCTGTCCCATAGACATCAATGCCTCAGATGGGACTGGTAAATGTTGCTTCTAAACTGGGCACATTGTCAGTCTCAACAATATCTAGGTAATGTCATTAAGAAAGGAGTGAAGAATGAATATTTTATTAGTTTTAGAGATGAGATCTTGTTATGTTGCCCTGAGTAGAGTGCAGTGGCTATTCATAGGCAGAATCACAGACCACTACAGCCTTGAACTCCCGGGCCCAAGTGATCCTCCTGCCTTTGCTTACTAAGTAGCTGGACTACAGGGACGTGCCACCACGCCCAGCTTGGAGAATAAATATTAGTAAGCGGCCAGTAGTCTTTGTCATGGGTTTACTGGGAAATTTCTGCTCATCTAGCTTTCCCCACTTCCACCCGCTTTCAATCCTTTTTCCAGAGAGGGAGGACTGGCCAAGGTGATTGGTCAGAGGTTACAATTAATCCATTTTACTAGGAGGCAGAATTGCAGGCCTTAAAAGATCCAGACTCACTTCTTGAATCCTCTCACATGTCCTGTTACAAACAGATAAATGGATCAGGAGAACTTTCTAAACCAGATTCACAGAAGTATTCTGTTCCAGATCCTCTGCCTATTCCTGAGTAGGTAAAACACTGTGCAGGCTCAGTTTTCTTTACTGGAAGAGAAATGGGACAGGAAACCCAATCTTAGTGTTAGACCTACAAAAAGAAGGTACATTTTGAGGGTTATAGGTGGCTTGTCCAGATTTGTCAAGTGGAACAATAGTTCTCACTTGGTTATACACTTTTATATGTGTATCTTCCATTAGTCAGGACGCCAAAGGGAAGGAAGAGAGATGAGATGCATCACGAACCTCCCAGAGAAAGCTTTTATCTTAGCCAAATCTTAAAAGCTGCATAATTTAGAGTATTAGCCACTTGCCAGTTTGCTTGTTCCTTTCCTACTTTTCTTACACTCCTGCTCTGCCTCCAGCAAGCAGTCTTCTCATGATCTCTCTCGTCAAGGAAGCTCGTCCACGTAGACTATCTGGGCTCAGTGCTTGAGCTCCTGCCTGTGTCTACCAAGTTATAATTATTCACTTATTTTTCCACTAGATGGATGGTTTCTTAAGGACAAAGACCATAGTGGGACTCTGAATCTTCAGGGACCAGCAAAATTCTTGGTGATATCAAGGTACCAAAATGTCTACAAATGTAATAATTGACCATCACTTAGGTGACTAATATGGTACAAATTACCCTGAAGTTCCTGCATTAAGGTCCACAAACATGCCTAAAGAAAATGCACCGAGGCGTGCTCAGTCTTCTCTTGCATAAGCGCCCCACTGTACTCTGCTGCAGCATTCCTTCTAATAAAACTTTTCTTTTCAAACCTAAACCACTGTTGGTAAATTATTTTACCATCCATGAGCCAACCACTCTCTGCCCCCGGGACCCTGACACCTTGCCCAGAAGTTTCCTCTTAGTAATTTTGCATCCACTGACATTTACCCAGTTTCTTGGTTATAAATTCTCACTTGTTCTTATTGAAGTTGAAGTTAAGTCCAATCTATTTTCCCTATTGCAGGATCCCACTGCAGTGGTGCCTACATTTATCATCATGGCTCCTCTTGAATAAAATCTACCTTACCATCTTCAACAAATGTGTCATGAATATTTTTTACTTTAACAGTGTTTTGAATATTTCTATTGAATATTGCTGAGAGAAATTGAGCTATCCTTCTGTAAGATTCTCTTTCTGAAATTGATGTATACAGACATTTATAAACAATTCCTGATCATCACCAAAAGAGTTAGTGAGGTATTGGCAAAATCAAAGTTGGCATAATTTATTGTTTGCCTCTAAAGGTTTTAACAAGAATCTCCATAATAACCTAATGTTTTGAATTCATCATTATTAATTGTCACACAATTTCTCACCTTTCTCTTGGCCTGAATTCAACAAATTGCTCTTAGCTTCTTTAATATGATGCATAGTTAATAGAAAGGCAATGGAGAGAGCAAACTATGTAGTGATTTCTTGGAAACTGACATAAAATCCCTAGAGAAAACTGTGAAGGCCTCTTTATTCACCAGTTTCTTATCCAACTTGTGTAAACCACAACCATGTTCTATCTAAATATGGCCCATGTTTTCCTCATTGTAAACCAGGCTTGTGGATCAAATGATTATCAGAAGACCAAGGAGTCAAGAAGAAATAGCTACAGAAGATAGAAAGGACCAAGTTTAATCTTCCTGTAAATTCTAAATCCTGCAATGTACACATCAGACTGAACATACAAGATTAAAAGGTAACTGCCTCTACTGAAGAAGGGAGAGTCAATAGCCTTTGGAAAGATGCTCAGGAGGGAATCAGGTGGGGGAAGAGAGAGAAAGAGAGGAGATATTGATGAGAGGAACGCCTAGTACACCAGACCCACTAGTTCAGAGATATGTTAGGGATGTTGCCTCCATCCTCTCTCCTAACTCTCATATTGACTCATAAGAGCAAACAAAAGCCACACTTGACAAATGGGATCTAATTAAGCTAAAGAGCTTCTGCACAGCAAAAGAAACTACCATCAGAGTGAACAGGCAACCTACAGAATGGGAGAAAATTTTTGCAATCTACTCATCTGACAAAGGGCTAATATCGAGAATCTACAATGAACTCAAACAAATTTACAAGAAAAAAACAACCCCATCAAAAAGTGGGCAAAGGATATGAACAGACACTTCTCAAAAGAAGACATTTATGCAGCCAAAAAACACATGAAAAAATGCTCATCATCACTGGCCATCAGAGAAATGCAAATCAAAACCACAATGAGATACCATCTCACACCAGTTAGAATGGCGATCATTAAAAAGTCAGGAAACAACAGGTGCTGGAGAGGATGTGGAGAAATAGGAACACTTTTACACTGTTGGTGGGACTGTAAACTAGTTCGACCATTGTGGAAGTCAGTGTGGCGATTCCTCAGGGATCTACAACTAGAAATATCATTTGACCCAGCCATCCCATTACTGGGTATATACCCAAAGGATTATAAATCATGCTGCTATAAAGACACATGCACATGTATGTTTATTGCGGCATTATTCACAATAGCAAAGACTTGGAACCAACCCAAATGTCCAACAATCACAGACTGGATTAAGAAAATGTGGCACATATGCACCATGGAATACTATGCAGCCATAAAAAATGATGAGTTCATGTCCTTTGTAGGGACATGGATGAAGCTGGAAACCATCATTCTCAGCAAACTATCGCAAGGACAAAAAACCAAACACTGCATGTTCTCACTCATAGGTGGGAATTGAACAATAAGAACACATGGACACAGGAAGGGGAACATCACACACCGGGGCCTGTTGTGGGGTGGGGGGAGGGGGAGGGGGGAGGGATAGCATTAGGAGATATACCTAATGTTAAATGACGGGTTAATGGGTGCAGCACACCAACATGGCACATGTATACATATGTAACTAACCTGCATGTTGTGCGCATGTACCCTAAAACTTAAAATATAATAATAATAATAATAATAAAAAGATGCAGTGACTCACAAAAGTAGCTTCGCTCGCTTCAGGAAAAACTCACATATTTATTCAAGAACCATGAACCATTTAGCTTTCTTGAGTGTGAGTTCTGATTCTTGAGAAGTCAGGAGTTCTCAATAGCTCAGGCTGCTTGAGTCAACAAAGTTCATAAGAAAAAAGAAGAATGTGAACCAGAAAGAATGTATGTTGACCGGCTATTTTAATTCTATATGTGTGGAAATACTGCTTAAGGACACTAAATTTTAAGGACAAAAGTGATAAACGTATGTAAGAATTGAAGTTTCCGGTAGGGTCTTTCTAATATTTTGCTTGAAGGATCTCAGTAGCAAGCCATGTAAGTAACAGTGGGTCACTGGAAACAAATGTAAATCTGTAGTCCTCTGAGAATTGAGCTTATTTTTCTCTAAAAATTCTTTTGCAGGATTATGGATGTCTCGGTAATGCTAGTGCTATGTGACCAGTATAACTTGGCAGACACATCTCTCTTTTTGTCTAGAATAATGTCCTGTCAACTTGCTTCTGTAGATTCCAGCTTTTTTTCTATTCCTGGCACCCAGTGCTTGTTGTATTCCCATAACTGAGCCCTGTCTTTATTGAAAAAGAGATGATTCAGTTTAACGTGGAAGGTCCCAGAAGAAAGCAAGCAGGAGCAGGTGTGTTTTATCTCAAGACCTGCAGGCTGTCTTATGCAGTAGGCTCCTCCAGCAGCTTAGCCAGCTGTGCAGCACATATGGAGTAGAGGCCAGAAGTATGGCTCAGTACATGTGCCTATATTAGTAACCACAACTACAAACTGCCACTCTCAGCATCCACTCTTCTTGAAAATGGCTACACTGGAATGAGTTTTATTGCCTCATATCCACCAAAACACTCAAGCTCCCGATGTCTCCCTTTCTACAGGCAGAGCTTTCGGAGGTCTAGTCACCAAATAAACTGTTTATTTTGTGATAGCATTTATGGAATAAAAGAAGTGATCCACATAGATTTACATTATATCAAATAACTTGCTTAGTTGATTTTCATCTTAATTCAGGTGAAATTTTCATCTTAAGTCAGGTGAAATTGTCTCAGTGGTAGACCCTGAGACAAAGATCTCTCACAAGTCGTTTATTTGAAAGGTGAAGAAATCACTTAGTAGGGTTTGGGAAATTAGACAAGGCACATTATTAAGCCAGCTACTCGCTGTGTGTCAGTGAACCTTAATTCTGCTAGGGACACACTAAGAGCCAATGTGAAGATCATGCCTCTAATGCCACACAAGGGACATGGAGATTGGTGTATATTTCTCATCAACTCCCTGTAGTCATTGGTTAAGCACTGCTCCCAAGTGGTCCTAATCTCCAGCATAACTGACCCCACGCTTAAGTTGCTGAAGCTTGGTGACTAGCCAGAGATAAACCACAGGCAAAGGGAAAAAAAAAAAAACCCTGTTTCTGGCAGCTGGAAGTCAAATGAGCCTGCACTAAAGTGGTAAAGACAAAAATATATAAGACACCTACAATTTTTCTGACAGTTATTCAGTTGAAAAACTGAACCTTTCAAGTAAGAAACTCTCTACACATTAAAGAATACACTAGGCCAGTCAAGTCGCTCTGCATTTTTTAAAGCCAAATTGACTAGATGAGGAATTTTGAACAGATTTACCCACACTCCTACTTTCATCTCTGCTTCTCTTTGCTTGTCTACAGAGGAAACAAATGGCTCAGAGGTTAATTTCTTTACTTTTTACAATAAGACTTTGCTGCTAAAGCTCTCCAGATTTCCCTGATATAATTAATTAGCCCTTGGTTTCAAACAAGGGCAAAATTGTCTAAATACTTATAGCCAGAGCAATATTTTGTAAAATTTGTCTGGTATCTCTCATTTACCCATTCTGCTTTCACCCCTCCTTGATCTCATTCCAAAGATGTCTATATTTTGGCTGTAGCTATTGGCTATAATACTTCCATAAAATTTCTTCCTCATATAATTTCCCATTTTATGGAGTTTCGCTGATCTAAAAATACTTTGCATGCAAGGGTTAATGGTTCACAGACTCTTACAGTTATTTCTCCCATATATATTTGAGGATTCATATGTAAATAATATATATGTTTTATATATATTATATATATACACACGCACACTGTTGAAGTATGCCATATAAATATATGCTATATATGTCTATTATATATAAATAGTTTAACTGTTGACATATACCATGTATATATACACATGAACGAGAACAATGATGAGAGTTAAAAACTGCAGGAGAACTCAGTTATGGGGGCTTTTTTTCTATATATATACATGCTATACTTCAACAGTATATACTGAAGAGAAATATATAGTGGAGAAATAACAGTGTAAGCATCTGTGAACCATTAACCCTTGCATGCAAAGTATTTTTGCTCACTAACATACTGGCATGGTAACATACATTGGGATACAGGGAGTTTCTCTAGCATCTTTCAAATTATATTATTTAAGTGTTCTCTTTCACATTATGGACATCAAAATATACTTCTTTGATCCATTTTTCTCATACTTGCCTGTACATAACCTTGTGTTTTCTACCAGCTGTTTCATGGCATATATTTTATATCTCTTTTTTTTTTTTTTTTTTGAGATGGACTTTTGCTCTGTTGCCCAGGCTGGAGTGCAGTGATGCAATCTCAGCTCACTGCGACCTCTGCCTCCCAGGTTCAAGCAATTCTCTTGCCTCAGCCTCCTGAGTAGCAGGGATTACAGGTGCCCGCCATCACACCCTGCCAATTCTTTTATTTTTAGTAGAGACAGGGTTTCACCATGTTGGCCAGGCTGCTTTCCAACTCCTCACCACAGGTGATCCACCCGCCTCAGCCTCCCAAAGTGCTGGGATTACAGGTATGAGCCACAACGCCCAGCCTGTATCTCATATTTCTAAATAAGATTCTTGCAAAATTAAATTTTGGAAAGCTGCTTCCTATATAAAAATATTTGTTTCCTTTATAGATTTCTTTATCAAAATGATTTATTGCTCAATTTTGAAAGCCTCATATTAAGTCTGAAATGGGTTGATATGTGTATACTGCTTTGATACAGATTAAGGAGCGAGGGAGTAACAATGGAAATGCCACCCCCTCATTTATTTCATGTTTAGGTAATCAAATTGCTGTCCACACAGACAAGGCAATCACAATATTTTAAACCACACTTTCAAATTTCCTGAGGCTTTTCCACTGAATCATTGTGGCCATGAGGAGCTGAATTTAAGAAGAATCAATGAGAGTGATAATGAACAATTCTATGAATGAAACTTTTCTGCATTTCTTTTTTGCTCTGAATTATAATGCACTCTTGGTAGATCCTAAAGTATTGTGTCTATTATGTCTATTTCAATCGCCATTCCCTGGAGGTTCTGAAGTCTGTGGCAAGGCCATCACGAAAACTAAAAGTTGAGTGTCTGAGTCCTTAACATTAAGAGTGGGGAAAAGTAAAGCCTGAGGAATCAATTTAAGGCCAACATGGGAAAAGATAACTATTAATCTCAGTAACATGGGAAGTAGTATTTAAATTCATAATAGCCTAAAGCACATTCTCAAACATAAAATGCAGCAAACATCATCAGGTGAGTAACATTCTCCTAAGTTCCTCAAATATCTCATTAATCTATCATTGGAAGAAACAATGATATGCCTTAGGGATGCTCCTGAATATTTAGATTGATTTCTTTAAACACACACACACACACACACACACACACACACACACACACACAAACCTCACAATGAAATATTTCATCTTTGGAGATAGAAATATAAAATATACATGATAGAGCATTTTTCCAGTTCTGCAGGTAAGGAACTTGGAAATCTCCACTCTGTTGTAACAAGTAAGGAGCTAAACAAACTGAAAAATCAACAACTCTTTTTAGATTTGAAAAGAAGTGACATCACAGGGCAAAATACTGTTCCCAGAATTGAAGTGACAGACAGGCAGATGCATAAGAATCACAACCTACCTGTACAGAAAGCTCCGTGGAACCAGTGGCAGGGTAAGAAACCTGGAACAGTAGTTGACGAATAGCTCTAGGCTCAGTGTGAGCAATACTGAGAGTTAAAAACTGCAGAAGGACTCATTCACGGCGGGGCAGGGGGTGAGGTGCTTCTGTCAGTTTTACCTCGAGAAACTTGACTGAGTCCTCACATTAGACATGAGGGGAAAATTCCCTTGTGCTCCCAGCAGGGAGTGGGGAAAGGAACCATTTTGAATTACGGGAGAGCACGCTGTTCTTCTTAAACAGGTGTGCCCTCAGGAGGAACTAGTTAACCTGAGTCTAACCTGCTGAATCTTATCAGACTCAAACTTCCTCTGGGAGGAAGGAAATATCTAACTCTAGCCTCTAGCTTTCCATGTGAGTAAAGGAAAATATCAAACTCTAGCTCACTCTAGCTATCCTATTCCACCTATAGAAGGAGAGAAAAACTGCAGAACACTTGTAAACATTCACAGTAACGAGGAATAGGCTCACTAAAAGACAGAGGCCTTATCACAGGACTATAAACTAATTTCTCTCCTCCCACACCTTAAAACCGCATTACTAACGACATATTTAGAGTAATTCATTTTACACAGTACATCCTGTTCCGCTATCTATCTTATCTGTCTAGGTATCTATTATGTATCTATCTATCTATCATCTATCTGAAAGATACACACACACACATACTCTAAATGGCAGAAAAGAAACAAACAAACAAACAAAAAACACACAGTTTGAAGAGACAGACACAGGGCAGGGATCTTGAAATTAACAGAACAGGAATTTAAAACAACTATGATTAACACGCTAAAGGTTCTAACAGAAAATGTAGGCAGCATGCAAAAACAGATAGGAAATGTAAGCAGAGAGGTGAAAAGCCTAAGAAAGTATCAAAAAGAGATGCTAGAGATAAAAAATAATGTGAACAGAAATGAAGAATGTCTTTGGTGAACTTATTAGCAGAATCAACATGGGTGAAGAAAGAAACACTGAGCTTGAGGATAAACTACCAAAACTGAAAACCAAAGGGAAAAAAAAAGGCTAAAATAGAATAGAACATCAAAGAACTGTGGCACGACTACAAAAGGTGTAACCTACACATAATGAGAATGCCAGATATAGTAAAAATAACAAAAGACCGTTTTCTCAAATTCCCCTTTATAATATCTTAGTAATTCCTGAAGAGTTAAATAAAGTCTCTGATATTTTACTTAAAAAAAGAAAACAGTAATAAGTACGGTCGATATTAATTCAACTGTATCAGCAATCACTTTAAACAACAACATTCTAAATGTACCAATTAATAGATAGGGAATGCCAGAATGGATCAAAAAATAATATGCAACTCTAAGTTGTCTACAATAAACCCATTTTAAATATAAAGACACATAAGATTAAAAGTAAATGAATGTAGAAAGATATACAATGCTAGTACTAATCAAATCAAGAGTAGCTAGCTGTATTAATTTCAGACAGAGCAGGCCAAAAAAACAGTTACCACAAATAAAGAGGGGCATTACATAATGATAGAGGGGTCAATTCTCCAACAAGGAATAGCAATTCTTGTAACAACACATCATTCTACCAATGCAGCATCAATATTCATGAGGCAAAAACTGATGGAAATGCACAAAGAAATAGATGAATTCACTATTTTAGTTGAAGGTTTCAACACCTCTCTATTAGAAATGAACAGATCCAGCAAGGAGAAAATCAGTAAAGATATAGTTAAACTGCTATGGTTCGAATGCTTGTTCTTCCCTTACCCCCCCAAATTCAAATGTTGAAATCTTAACACCCAAGGTGATGGTATTTGGAGGTGGGCCTTTGGGAGGTGTTTAAGTCATGTAAAGATATTGAGAGAAGGCACAGTCTATTAACCTAATGGGATTAGTGGCCTTATTAAAAGGGCTTTATAAATAGAAACTTTGCTCCTTCCACCATGTGAGGTCATTGTAAGAAAATGTGATCTGTAAGCTAGAGATTATGCACTCACTGAATTTGCCAGAGACGGTTACTTGGAATTTGCAGCCTCCATATTTGTGGGAAATAAATTTCTGTTGCTTATAAGCCACCCAGTCCATGACATTTTGTTATAGCAGTCTGAAAAGACTGAGACATGAGCCCAGCAACACCGTCAATCAATAGGATATATTTGACTACAATATATAGACTATTTCATCCAACAAAAGCAGAATATACACTTTTCTCAAGCTTACAGGGAACATTCAATAATACAGACCACATTTGGGGCCATAAAATAAACCCAACAAATTTAAAATAATAGAAATCACACAATGTCTGCTCTTAAACCAGAGTGGAATTAAACTAGAAATTAATAGCAGAAAGGCAGAAAATCCCAACATACATGGAGCTTATACAACACAACTCTAAATAACATGGGTTAAAGAAAAATCTCAATCGAAAATTTAATATATCTTAAGCTAAATAAAAATGAAAATACAACTTATCAAAATTTTTGGGATACAGTAAAAACTGTATTTAGTGGGAAGTTACAGCATTTACTGCACATATCATAAAGAAAAAAATCTAAAATCAATTTATCTAAGCTTCCGCTTTGGGAAACTAGAAAAGGAAGAACAAATTAAATACAAATTAAGCAGAAGAACATAAGTAATATAAATTAGAGCAGAAATAAATGAAATTAAAATAGAAAGTCAATAGAGAAAAATCAGTGAATCCACCAACTGCATTCCAGCCTGGGCAACAGAGTGAGACAGGGTCTGTCTCCAAAAACAAACAAACAAACAACAACAACAAAAAACCTCCTGGAACTGGTAAGCTATTATATCAAAGTTGAGTGATGCATGCAAGGAATAATATACAAAAATCCATCAGCAGGTGGCATTTGAGATTAACAATGCAACACAACTCACATTAGTACCCTAAAAAATGAAATATTTATATATGTCAAACAAAATATGTACAACATCTGTACGAGAAAAATGAAGAAACTCTAATGAAAAGAATCAAAGGAGAATTACACAAATAAGGACATATTTCACTTTCATTTATAGGAAGACTCAATATTGTCAAGATGTTGGTTCATCCCAACTTGTTCTGTAGATTCATTGCCATACCAATCAAAATCCTAGCAAGTTACTTTACAGATAAACTTTATTCTAAAGTTTATATAGAAGGACAAAAGACCCAGATTAGCCAACACAATAATGGAGAAGAACCAAGTTGGAGGATTAATACTACCCAAATTCAAGACTTACTATAATGCTACAGTAATCAAAACAGTGTGCTTTTAGCAAAATGATATTAAAAATGGATCAATAGAGCAGAATAAAGGGCCTAGAAATATGCCCATATAAATGTAATCAACTAATCTTTGACAAAGGAGCAAAGGCAGTACAATGGAGGAAAGACAGTCATTTCAACAAATCGTACTGGAACAATCAAATATCCACATATAAAAATAATAATAATAATATCTCTACACAGACCTAACATCCTTCATACAAATTGGCTCAAAATATCCCACGGGCCTAAATGTAAAACACAAAACTATAAAATTTCTATAAGATAACATAGGAGAAAATCTAGATGACATGGTTTGGTGATAGCTTTTCAGATATGTCACCAAAACTTGACCCAGGAAAGAAAGAATTGTTCAACTGGACATTATTAAAATTTTTAGAAAATCTACTCTGTGTAAAACTCTGTCAAGAAAAGGAAAAAATGAGACAGACTAGGGGATATATTTTCAAAAGACATATCTGATAAAGGACTGTGTCTTAGTCAATTTGTACTACTATAACAAAATACCACAGTCTTAGTAATTTATAAACAACAGAAATTTATTTCTCACAGTTCAGCCTCTGCTGCATCCTTCAGAAGGGAGGAATGCTGTGTCTTCACATGGTGGAAGATATGGAAGGGCAAGAGAGGATGAATGCTCTCTGAAGCTTTTATTATAAGAGTATTAATCCATTTCCAAAAGTCCCCAATTCTTAATATAACAAAAATGAGGACGAAGATTCAACATAAATTTCAGAGGTGACACCACATTCAAACCATAGCAGACTGTTATCCAAAATGTATGAAGAACACTTAGAACTCCACAATAAGAAAACCGACTAACTGAATTTAAAAAAAAAATGGACCTAAAACTTTAATAGACACCAAAAAATACAAAGCAATGACAAATAAGCACATAAAATAATGCTCCATATCATATTTAATCAAGGAAATGCAAACTAAAACAATGCGATACCACTACACGTCTAGTAGAATGGCAAAAATTTAGAACACTGACATCACCAAATGCTGGTGAGGAAGTGGAGCAACAGATACTCTCATTCATTGCTGATGAAATTGCAAAATGACACAACCACTTTGGAAGACAGTTTGGTGGTTTCCTACAAAACAAAACATACACTCTATGATACAGCAGTCTCACTCCTGGTTATATACCCAAATGAATTGAAAACTTATTTCCACACAACACCTTACACATGGATGTTTATAGCAGCTATATTCATAATTTATTCATAATTATAACAACATGTAATCAACCAGGATATTCTTTAATAAATCAATGGATAAATAAACTGTGGTACATCCAGGATCATATGGAATATTATTCATCACTGAAAATAAATAGCTACCAAACCATGAAAAGATGTGGAGAAAACTTTAATGCATATTACTAAGTGAAGGAACTCAATCTCAAAGGCCTATATACTACATGATTCCAAATATATGACATTCTGGAAAGGGAAAAACACTGGAGACAGTAAAAGATTAGTGGTTGTCATGAGTTAGAGAGAGGGAGGGATTAAATAGGCAGCACACAGAGAATTAAGGCAGTGAAACTATTCTGTATGATACCATAATGGTGGGTACATGTCCTCCTATATTTGTCCAACTTGTAGAATGTATAACATCAAGAGTGAACCCTAAAGAGACCTAGCCTTTAGATAACAATGATGTGTTAATGTAGGTTCCTTAGTTTTAACAAATCTATCACTCTGATGGGGAATGCTGTTGAAGCAGTAGGCTATGTATATGTGGGGGCAGGGTGCATATGAGTATCTCTGTACCTTTCTCTCAATTGTTCTGTGTACTTAAAACAGCACTAAAAAAGTTCTATACCTACAGTCAACATTATATTGAACAGGGAAAAGTTGAAAGCATTTCCCTTGAGAAATGGAACAAGACAAGGATGCCCACTTCTATTCAACCACTTCTTCAACTATTCAACCGCTATTTCACCACTTCTATTCAACAGGGTACTGGAAGTATTAGCCAGAGCAATCAGACAAGAGAAAAAAATAAAGGGCATCCAAATCGGTAAAGAGGAAGTCAGGCTGTCACTGTTTGCTGATGATATGATTGTTTACCTAGAAAACCCTAAAGACTCCTCCAGAAAACTCCTAGAACTGATTTTAAAAATTCAGCAAAGTTTCAGGAGACAAAATTAATATACACAAATCAGTAGCTCTGCTATACACCAACAGCACCCAAGCTGAGAATAAAATCAAGAACTCAACCCCTTTCACAATAGTGGCAAAAAAATAAAATACTTACTAAGAACATGAAAGACCTCTACAAGGAAAACTACAAAACACTGCTGAAAGAAATCATGGATGACACAAATGGAAACACATCCAATGCTTATGGATGGGTAGAATCAATATCATGAAGATGACTGTCTTAGTCTGTTTTCACACTGCTGATAAAGACATATCAGAGACTGGGAAGAAAAAGAGGTTTAAGTGGACTTACAGTTCCACATGGCTGAGAAGGCCTCAGAATCATGGTGGGAGGCAAAAGGCACTTCATATGTGGCAGCAGCAAGAGAAAATGAGGAAGAAGCAAAAGTGGAAACCTCTGACAAACCCATCAGATCTTGTGAGAGCTATTCACTATCATACGAATAGCACAGGAAAGACCAACCACCATGATTCAATTACCTCCCTGAGGGTCCCTCCCACAACACATGGGAATTCTGGGAGATACAATTTAAGTTGAGATTTGGGTAGGGACACAGCCAAACCATATCAGTGACCATACTGCCAAAAACAATCTACAAATTCAATGCAATTCCCATCAAAATACCACCATCATTCTTCACAGAATTAGAAAAACAATCCTAAAATTCATATGGAACCAAAAAAGAGCCCACATAGCCAAAGCAAGACTAGGCAAAAAGAACAAATTTGGAGGCAAAACATTATCAGACTTCAAACTATACTATAAGGCCATAATCAGCAAAACAACATTGTACTGGTATAAAATCAGCTCATAGACCAATGGAACAGAATAGAGAACCCAGAAATAGAGCAAAATACTTACAGCCAGCTAATCTTCAACAAAGCAAACAAAAGTGGGTACAGGACACTCTATTACACTAACGGTGCTATGATAATTGGCAAGCCACATGTAGAAGAAAAAAACTGGTTCCTCATTTCCCAACTTATATAAAAACATTGACTCAAGATGGGTCAAAGACTTAAACCTAAAACCTGAAACCATAAAGATTCTAGAAGATAACATTGCAAACAACCTTCTGGACATTGGCTTAGGCAAAGATTTCATGACCAAGAACTCAAAAACAAATACAACAAAAACAAACACAAAAGATGAGACTTAAACTAAAGAGTTTCTGGACAGCAAAAGAAATAATCAGCAGAGTTAACAAACAACCCACAGAATGGGAGAAAATCTTCACAATCTGTACATCTGACAAAGGACTAATAACCAGAATCAACAAAGAAATCAGCCAAAAACCCCCACAAAATCCTATCAAAAAATGGTCTAAAGACATGTATAGACAATACTCAAAATAAGATATACAAATGGCCAACAGTATATGGAAAAAAAATCTTAACATCGCTAATTTATCAGGGACATGCAAATCAAAACTACAATGCGATACCACCTCAATCCTGCAAGAATGGCCATAATCAAAAAATAAAAAACATAATAGTGGGTGTGGATGCGACGACAGGGAACATTTTTACACTGTCGATGGAAATGTAAACTAGTACAACCAGTATGGAAAAGAGTGTGGAGATTCTTAAAGAACCTCAAGTAGATCTACCATTTGCTCCAGCAATCCTAATACTACGTATCTACCCAAAGGAAAAAACGTCATTATACGAAGAAGATAGCTGCACGTGTATGTTTGTATGTTTGTAGCAGCACAATTTGCAATGGCAAAAATATAGAACCAGCCCAAATGTCCATCAGTCAATGAGTAGATAAAGAAAATATGGTGTATAGAGGCAGGAGAATCGCTTGAATCCGGGAGGCGGAGGTTGCAGTGAGACGAGATTGGGCTGCTGTACTCCAGCCTGGGTGACAGAGCAAAACTCCATCTCAAAAAAAAAAAAAGACATGGGCCGGACATGCTGGCTCATGCCTATAATCCCAGCACTTTGGGAGGCTGAGGCAGGCAGATCACCTGAGGTCAGGGGTTTGAAACCAGCCTAGCCAACGTGGTGAAACCTCATCTCTACTAAAAACACAAAATTCGCTGGGCGTGGTGGCACACACCTGTAATTCCAGCTACTTAAGAGGCTGAGGCAGGAGAATCGCTTGAACCCAGGAGGTGGAGGTTGCAGTGAGCCGAGATGTTGCCATTGCACTCCAGCCCTGGGCAACAAGAGCAAAACTCCACCTCAAAAAAAAAAAAAAAGTGAGCTCTATATATATGTGTGTGTGCATATATATATGTGTGTGTGTATGTGTGTATATATACGTGTGTGTATATATGTGTGTATGTGTGTGTGTGTGTGTGTGTGTGTGTGTGTATATATATATATATGTATCCATCCCATGGAATACTACTCAGCCATAAAAGGAATAAAATATTGGCATTCACAGCAACCTGGATGGAATTGTAGACTACTATTCCTAAGTGAAGTAACTCAGGAATGGAAAACCAAACATCGAATATTCTTGCTTATATGTGGGAGCTAAGCTATGAGGATGCAAAGGCATAAGAATAATACATTAGACTTTGGGTCCTCAGGAGAAAGGGTGGGAGGTGGAGAGGGATAAAAGACCACACAATGGGTATAGTGTACACTGCTCAGGTGATGGGTGCACCAAAATCTCAGAACTCACCCCTAAAGAACTTACTCATGTAACCAAACACCACCTGTTCCCCAAAACCCTACTGAAATAAAAAATAATTATTTAAAAAAAGTTCTATATATAAAATATAAACATTACATATCGTATATGTAATAGATCATATATATCATATATAAATAGATTATACATATCATATATGTAATATAACCCTATCATGGTCATAAACACCTCACAGAACTTAATCTAATGATCTTATATATCATATATATGAGATATAAGATATATTCCTATTTATATATAAGCTATATCTCATTATATATGCATAACATATACATATTAGATATCATCAGATTAACTTTTGTGAGGTGTTTGTGTCCATAATTAACGCTTGCAAATATGTTCATCTACATATAATTGTGTAAATCATGATCAGAGGTGACAATGTTGAAATTTATCTCTGCCCTGTGATCCTGGAAAACAGCAAAGATTAAGAAATCTCTCCAACACTTATGTGCTATAGAATCTCATTTGCTGCAAAGAACCACTCTGCCCCATATAAGTTATTAATAGATAAGATTCACAGATGTCCCCCTTACTTACCTATGACATGTCTAGACACACACCCTCCAAATTCCCATTTTTGCCTAATAAATGATTAGTCGAATTGTTTTGTCTCCACTGACTTATCAGAACAAAACGCTTTGACAGAATGATTGTACAAATGGACAATGAACAGACCACATATAAAAATATAATGTTGTCCCAAAACCTGCCTTAACCTAGCTAGGAAAGCAACCCTTAGCTACAACAAATAATCCAGGAAGTCAGCCTGCCATAAATCAGACTTTGAAGAAACCAGATTGCTTTCTCTAGCGAAAAGCAAGAAAATTATACAATAACTTTTGTAACAATTGGCTCAAAATGGCCAGGACCTGATTAAAAACTGGCAGCTCCCCATTTACTGTCCCTAGTTCCAACTCAGGACAAATGAAAGAAAGTCAAATGTGCACCCCTAACCAATCACATAGGATGCCCAGCTTCTAGTGAGCCTTCCCACAGCTTCCCTAAGCTAACATCCTTCAACGAAGGTACACTTGAAGGCTTTCTTTTTTTCACTAGGTATAAAGCTTTCCCACTCTTCTGCCTGCCTCTCACTCTCTGAAATGACAGTGGCTGATTTCTTTGCTATAGCAAGCCTATCATAGCCTTTGTTTTTCTCATTTGGTTAGTCTGTATTTCCACAATTTATTATCCGAACTTTGTGCCCCAGGTTCATGAACTTTCACCTACCTCAGCCTAGGCCAGCATGCAAACTCTCCCTAAAAGCCCTTGCAAAACACAGATTAGCCCAAGTGTAAAACATTCCCTTTTATCCCTCTTCCACACACACCCAGTCTTTTTCTAGCTTTGTTTCTCTCTATAAATGAAAAAAAAATTAAAAAAAATTTTTTTTGCCTACAGTTTGAGATGCTTGCAGATCTATGATCAGAGAAATAGCACCCTCCCCTTATTACAATAGTCCCTTTCTCCCTCACAATAATACATTTGTGTAAAGTCTCCTTACCAGGTCCAGATTTGTTTTGTTTTCAATTTGACAGAGGATTTGTGAAGAAGTTGCTTATCTGCATGTATATATTTAAGTTTTCATTTTCATGTAAATATAATAAAGCAGTTTGTGTATGACACTTGGCAGAACATTGCAAAGTGACTGACCAAGAAAATCAATGATTGTAGAAGCAAAGAGTGTGGTCTACAATTCTGCTGAATCACATACTTGAAAAATGAGAAATAGAGATTACAGGGGCAGTAATTTTACTGAACTTGTCTTTGCTTAGTTTTAGGTGACAGGAGCCAGGATGATGTACCATCAACGTATAGGAAAGAGTGAATTATTTTCCCAGAAGGATATTAAGATTAGATAGGAGAAAAGCTTTCATGCACTGATTCTTATGAGTAAATTCATCTATTCATCTAGAGAGAACGAGCTCAAGATTCAGGGAGAAAAGCTTTTGTTGGGTGTAGTTAGGTAGCCAAATTCTTAACATTTTTCTTCAAATCTTTTGAAACCAAAGTATTATGTGCTGTGATTGAATTTCCATGAGAAAGAAAAGAAAAAAGTTTGACCTATCAGCCAGAGATGATCAGCTATTATTTTCTTGATATTCCAAGTAAAAAGGCCCATTGGGTAGAAAAGAGCTGTAAATGAAGTATCCCATAGCACTATCAGAAATGCAGCAGAGTTCTACGGAGCCTCATTCAATCACTCTATCATGTGAGTGGCAGTCTTAAAAAGACAATCTACTTTTGCCATTAACTAATCCTTATTTAAATCTTGCTAATTAAAATAATATCATAACATTTATTTATGGCTTACTATTTGTCAGGCGCTATTCCAAAAGCTTTTTTTGTAGTGTTTTATTTAATTCTCACAAATCCCCTAGAATGTAGGTATTATTATTATTATCAACCACATTTACTGATAAGAAAATTGAGACACAGAAGCAAGAACAACCATGCCCGAGATCACACAGCTAGTAAATGTTAGAGCTGAGAACTGAGCTTATAAACCAAAAATAACATCCTAAGACCCCCAAATGACTGGACGGACATCCTCTTGGCCAAGGGGACCCCAAATAAACCTGAAAAACTGAATTCCCAGCCATAATGGGAAGGGAGTTCAGACATGCTTCATTATATTCCCTCATTTTTTTGGAGTTTCGGCACAGCTGACCAACACTGAGTTTAAAATAGAGATCATCACAATATAGGAGTTAAAAAGAAATTATTTAGGCAGGTGGTGAGGGTAATGAAGTCCTCAGTAACATTTTTCTTTAATGAAAAGCAACCCCAGGCGCGGTGGCTCACACCTGTAATACCAGCACTTTGGGAGGCCAAGGCTGGCAGATCACCTAAGGTTGGGAGTTCGAGACCAGCCTGACCAACATGGAGACAACCCCATCTCTACTACAAATACAAAATTAGCCAGGCATGGTGGCGCATGCCTGTTAGCCCAGCTACTCAGGAGGCTGAGGCAGGAGAATTGCTTGAACCTAGGAGGCAGAGGTTGCAGTGAGCCGAGATCGCCCACTGCACTCCAGCCTGGGCAACAAGAGCAAAATTCCGTCTCAAAAAAAAAAAAAAGAAAGAAAGAAAGAAAAAGAAAAAAGCAACTCCAAAATCATTTCCTTTCGAACAAACAGCAGCCTATAGAATTGAGCTGCAGACATAGAAAAGCAAGCTGGCAGCTTACATAGGTAAAGGCTGGCAGCTGTGCCAATAGGACAAATCTACCTTGGGGCTAGGCATGTTCAACATGGCAGCTCCATCTTCCCTTTTCCTGGCTAACGGCATGTGCAGTAAGGAGCAGGCAACATAGCGCCCACCAAGCATAAAGTCCATTCACATAATAAAAAGATTAGGGTGGGGTGGCCAGCTTCTTAATACGCTATGTAAATATCACATCTAGTTCAACCAATCTTTGGTCCCTATGTAAATCAGACACCTCCTCCTCAAGCTAGTCTATAAAACCCCATGCACTCCACCACGGACTGGAAGTCCCACTCAGGCACCCCTCTCTCTCTGTAGGAAAGAGATCTATTCTTTTTTCTCTTTCTTTCACCTATTAAACCTCCCCTCTTAAACTCATTTCTGTGTGTCTCCGTCTTCAATTTCCTTGGTGTGAGACAACGAACCTTGGGTATTTCCCTGGACAAATGATGCTCCTTCAATAAGACAGAACAGA
The DNA here is from genome assembly GCF_000001405.40 of Homo sapiens. Lineage (NCBI taxonomy): Eukaryota > Metazoa > Chordata > Mammalia > Primates > Hominidae > Homo > Homo sapiens. Next base: position 115,919,945 of record NC_000002.12, on the reverse strand, counting down.
CTCTTTGTGGCAATGCTATACCAAATTCCCGTGTGACCCCGGTACAGCATCACATGACAGCAGACCCTGAAGGAAGTCAAAATATTTTATCTCAAAATATATTTATTTGACATGTTTTGAAATGATTCTGCAAAATTGTCTCTTGTGTGAGAAATTTGCACCTGTAGAAAATCCCATTAATGCAGCCAACTTTATTTTCTAGGTCTTTCTCGGATCTAGGAGAGATGAAATCAGAGCCTGATGTCTTCAAGTTCTGAAAAGAGACATTTACCGTCTATTCTTTCTGAAGCCTCCTGCCTGGAGGCTTCACTTACATAACAAGAACCCTGGTCTTCACAACCTCCCTTATGTTACTTTGGGCATTTCTTTCTTCTGATTTCAAGTCTTTAGACAAAGCTTAACTCTTTCAATCAATTGTCAATTAGAAAATCTTTGAATCCACTTATGACTTGTAAACACACCATCTCTTCAAGATATCACATCTCTTTAGGCTGAACCAGCATATACCTTACATGTATTGATTTGTGTTTTTGCCTGTAACTTCTGTTTCCCAAAATGCATAAAACCGAACTGTAAGCTGACTGCCTCAGGCACACCTTCTCAAAACCTCTGGAGACTGTTCCCCAGGCCATGGTCTGTCATACTGGGTCAGAATAAACTTCTTTAAATATTTTACTGTGCTTTGTTTTTCCATTAACAAGCTCATGGATTGACTTACAGATATACCCACCCAATTATCATGCTAAACTCCTTATAGAAGTGCCCAGAATAGAAATGGTCATCACCATCTCTTCACCTGATATGTGGCATCCAGGCCAAAGCCTGCTTTCTCCATTACATTCCATTTCACATCCTCTATCCTATCCTAGGAAGTCTTAGGATCTGTATATTTATTTAGCACATATGAAATATTTTTTGTTAAAAAAATTGTAAATAAATCTTTATAGGCATAGTAATTTTCTTTTCTAGTTTTGTTCTCTCGTTTTTAAGGATCATTTGCTCATTGTAAAAACTTTAAGAATTTAAAATTTATGAAAAAACGCAGTTGTGGTTCTCCCCAAAACCAAACCTTGTTAACTTTTTCATCTGTATCTTTCTAGTGGGATAAAAATATGTGCGAGCAAATCAGTGTTTGACCATATTTTTATTACATAAAAGAAATTATTCACTATACATTGTCTGTGACTTTTTCTTTTCCAAGTAAAAATATACCTTAGACATATCTCAACATCTACTAATACTGATTTCCTTCATTCACTTCAATAATTACAGAGATTTCTGTTCTATGCAGATAACATACTTCATTTAAACAATGACATAGTAATGAACACTTGGATTATTTTTAAACTTTTTTCATTGAAAAAATGCTGCAATAAACTCTTCACATAAATAACCTGACATTTTTTGACAGTGTATCCAGTGGATAAATTTCCAGCAAATATTCAAAGGATGCATACTTTTCACAATAGATATTGGCAAATTACTGTCCAGTGGCTTAACAATTTACACTTTTATCAACTGTGTGAGTGAAAGACAAGTTTCTCTGCAAATTCCACACCAGATGTTAACTATTTTTGACAAATGGATAGATGAGAAGTGTTATATTCTGTATGTTTCTTGTTTGTTTGCATCTTCCTGATGACTTGTTTTTCGGCAAGATTAGTGGTGGAAGTGGACAACGTAAGGCAATATGTATGAAATGGAAGATAATATTATATAGTAAGAATGGTCCTACAGGGCAGAGTCAAGAATTGTGGGGGAAAATGCTTTGGGACCTATTCATAAGGAGCAAAATAGAGGCCTGATGGAGAAATATCCCTACTCTCTGGGTAGCTGGATCTAACATTTCCCAGGAGATTTTTAGAATTGTTAGAAATAAGTCTTCTGTGTACCACCTTGTCCCCTTTCCAAATGGGACTGTCTTTGTAGAAATCTTATAACTGTTTTGCCTCGCGTATGGGAGAAAGACAACTTGGCTTCTTACTTCACAGGTTTTCAAAAAAAAGAAAAGCTGCATATAGTCATTCATGTTGCAAAACATGGAAATCTGAGTCTTGAGATTATGCAGTTACTGGACGATACTTTTGACGTGTCTTGTTTGAGATGAGGAGTTTGCATGTGAGAGGGAAGTAAATGCTTGTGAACAATAAGAAAGGCTTTGGGACATAGGACTATAGTTTGCAAATCTTCATTTCCTTCCTGCAGTGGTTTAATTCATCTACACACTTTGCTGTTTTTCATGGCAGTGCTTCCTTGAGGAATAAGTGGAGTACACATCATTGTTCCACCGGCTTTGGCATAGTCACAAAACTTGTTTTGGTCAATGCAATATTAGTAAAGGTAATATAAACAAAAACTTTAAATATGTCTAGTTAAATTTGGTTTAGCATGGCCTCTTGGGTTTTAGCCATCCAAAATAATAAGATTATGCCTAATTATGCCTGAGTAGCTGCAGGTTTCATAGTGAAAGACATGGAACTGACCTAAACCTGAACCATATCTTAAGTAGAGCTGTCCCAGAAGACTTGCAGAACTGTGACCAATAAATAAATGATTGTTGACAGTATGGGGTTGTTTGTTACAGAGGGTTACCTTGATGGAATGCTGACTAATATAAAACTATAAGATTTAAATTCCACATGGACCATATTATTATCATTATTTAAAGAAAGACTTAGAGCATTTAAGTGAACTGAGCAAGACGGTGTATTAATAAAGAGGTGGTCAGGATATAAACTCACATCAGAACACAAAGGTGGAAAAGTGCTTTTTTTTTTTTTCGAGATGAAGTTTCACTCTTGTTGCCCAGGCTGGAGTGCAGTGGTGTGATCTCAGCTCACTGCAACCTCCACCTCGTGGGTTCAAGCAATTCTCCTGCCTCAGCCTCCCAAGTATCTGGGATTACAGGTGCATGCCACTATGCCCAGCTAATTTTTTGGATTTTTAGTTGAGACAGCGTTTCACCGTGTTAGCCATGATGGTCTCTATCTCCTGACCTCATGATCTGCCCGCTGGGATTAAGTGCTGGGGTTAAGGCATGAGCCACCGTGCCCGGCCGGAAAAGTGCTTTTATCCATTATATATTACTGTCTTCCTATTTAGTCACTGAACACAGAGGAGTGAGGACAGTAACAAGGATATTCATTAAGGAGGTAGGTAACAAGTGACTTAAATTGGAGTAAAATGAGAAAACAAGGGTTAGAATTGAAGACAAAAAAGAACGGAGTCGTATGTAAGAGATAATAAGGAGAAATTCACAATATTTGAAGTTTCTCCAAGATGTTCCTTTTATGGTGCTATGTCAAGTGAGACAAACTGTTTAGCAAGAAGGTAATAGGTGCTCTTCACTGTGGTAAATAAAGCAAAAATTTTGTGAAAATGTATCTTCTTTCAGACAACTTATACCCATACATTAAAATCCTTGTAACCAATATTTATTGATTTTACTTTGGGGAAATGCATATCTAGAAGCAACAGCAAATGTACTGAGTCCTACAATTTACTCCATCCACCAGGCATGTATTTATTTTAAAATTCTTACTGCTTGTCTTTATAGGTGAAGTACAATGCAATTTTATTTCTAGTAAAAAGTGATATAATTAAATGGACAATTACAAAAACAATGTGTGTATAATAGTGACTGAAATAATTCAACATCATTTCTTTTTCCTGATGGTAGTGATAGAGGAGGCAGAATTATATACGTAACTATAGCAGAGTGCATAAACGTTTCAAAAATTACCTCAGGGGTTTATCTTCAAAAAACAAATTCTACAAATGCATACAAACACAAACACACAATCACACACACACCTTTAATAATGGAATAAGTCACCTTGGATATACTAAATTTTTATTAGCTTCACTGATGGCAAAATGCTCACTTTAGGGCTGGGTACCTGTAATCTCAGCACTTTGGGAGGCCAAAGTGGGTAGACACTCAAGGCCAGGAGTTTGAGACCAGCCTGGCCAACATGGCAAAACTACGTCTTTACTAAAGTACAAAAATTAGCTGGGCGTGGTGGTGCACACCTGTAATCCCAGCTACTCGGGAGACTGAGGCAGGAGAATTGCTTGAACCCGAGAGATGGAGGTTGCAGTGAGCCAAGATCACACCACTGCACTGCAGCCTGGCCAACAGAGTGAGACTGTCTCAAAAAAAAAAAATGTTTAATAGTTGCGTTATTACCAAGCAATATTATGGAAGAACAAGTTTTAGTCCAAGTCTCTGCTAATAAAAGCAATTTGGTTCATATCAGCATGTTTAGATTTTCTATCGCTGAACATTTAGTATGTTAGTTATACATAATATATGTAATCATCAGTCAGATTCCAATCTGTATATATAAAACATACTGGGAATTGGAAGAGGGAAAATTTCACATACAGAATTGTTAACTAGGTAGTTAACAAGAAAATTCTAAGATGCACAGAAGTAGCGAGTGCATAAATCGGGTGCTACTATTTCTAGAGCTGAGGGAGAGTGCAAAATGAAGGGTTGAACTTAGAACATCTCCCTACCTGCTGAGACCAGCTCGGTTGTGGAGACCCTAACCCAGCAGCACTAGAGGAATTAAAGATACACACACAGAAATATACAGTGAGGAGTGGGAAATCAGGGGGCTGACAGCCTTCAGAGCTCAGAGCCACAAACAGAGTTTTACCCACATATTTACTGACAGCAAGCCAGTGATAAGCATTGTTTCTATAGATTATAGATTAACTAAAACGGGAAACAAAGTGATGGGCCAAAACAAAGAGATGGGCTCTGGCTAGTTATCTGCAGCAGGAACATATACAATAGCTCATGCTATTGTTTGTGACTTAGAAATGCCTTAAGCGGTTTTCCGCCCTGGGTGGGCCAGGTGTTCCTTGCCCTCATTCTGGTAAACCCACCACCTTCAACGTGGGTGTCATGGCCTTCATAAACATATCACAGTGCTGCAGAGATTTTGTTTATGGCCAGTTCTGGGGTCAGTTTATGGCCAGATTTGGGGGCCTGTTCCCAACGCCTACACCCATCTGAAATTCAGACCTCTTTGGAGAAAGTATGGCTGCCACAAGAACACCAGCCTTCAGGTGATGAGGAAACCAGCCTTCGGGAGCAGGGCAGAGATCTCGTAGAGGTGTGGCCTACTGGGTGGGATACACTTGCTGCCTGGTGAGAACCACAGCTAGTCTATGAAGGTCCTGAAGTAAGCATTGTCAGACCTCTCCTGTGATTTGCTGGCTGTCATGTCCTCAAAAACAGCACACTAGAAGCAGGAAACCCCTTCATCTGTCAGTGTCCCTTCCGCTCTTTCTATTGACAAAGACTAACATTGAGACAGCTGCAAAGGAGAAATGTCTACAGGGTAAAGCTTCAGTATTACAACATAGGACAAAGAAGGGGTGACTTGGAACTGAGAGGCAACAAATCAATGGGACTATATCTATGATGTAGATCAGACATGCACCATGGTGTCTTTTTCTACTTCTATTTTGGATGTTTTCCTTTTTGGGAACTAAGTCAAACTGTAGTTTCTTCTTGTTTTATGGTCACATTTTGAACAATTTAAAAACAAAAGGTGGGTGGGGAGAAGAGAAGTCAAAAATCCTGTCAAAAGTTGGCTCAGAGGCAACCCCAGCAGCCTGACTTAGTCATAGCTGCCCTACAGCAACTTTCATATAGATGTGTGTCATTATAGTGAGGTGTTAGCTTAATTCATTCAATAACTTTTCACGAAGTTATCAGAAAGATGAGAAGACGTGAATGTCTTTTTGAGTCACATGTTTCTGGAAATACACTTGGATTTAATTACGCACATCTCTCTGTGAAAAAGCAAGACGAATGAAGTGAAATGGAGTATTTGCAGCATTCTTCAGCCTGCTTTCATGGAATAGAGAACATTAATGTTAGATTAACTTTCTGTTTGCCTCATTTTCCTGTGATTAATTGTACAACTCTTCACCAGAACAGTTTATGTTATATATCATGCCATGAGAATCAATGTAGATATCCAACTAATCAACGTAGAAAGCAATCTTTCACAACTTAAATTTTTCATTTTTTTCTAATTCAAATCAGCTCAAGTCCTTTTTTCCAAATTATTAAACTTTATTTTGTAAAGAAGTTTCAGGTTCACAGTAAAATTAAGTGGAAATTTCAGAATTTATATATACCCTCATTCTCAAACACACACACACAAAACCTTCCCCACTACTGACATCCTGCACCACGGTAACTTGTCTGTTACCATTGATGAGCCTATATTGATGCATCATTATCAGGCAAAGTTGAGAGTTTCCACTGGGTTTATGCTTAGTGTTATACTTTTTGTGGAGTCTGACAAATGCATAATGACATGTATCTATCAATGTATTCTCATACAAAATAGTTTCACTATCCTAAAAATTCTCTGGGCTTCACTTATTCATCCCCTTAACTCTTGGCAAACACTGATCTTTTCCTTTTGAGATGGAGTCTTCCCAGTTTTATTCTTTTCTAGAAGGTCTTAGAGTTAGAATGTATATATTAATAGTTTATAGATTTTTAAGTTTGATCTCTCTCTTTTCATCATATAAATTTGTTTCTTCCATCTCATTTCATGGCTTGATGTCTTATTTCTTTTTGGTGCCAAATGATTGTCTGGAGGTACCACAGTTTATTTATTCATTATCCTACTGAAAGACATTTTTGTTGCTTCCAAATTTTTGCAATTATGAATAAAGCTGCTACAAACATCTGCTGTGCAGGATTTTTTGTAGACTTAAGTTTTCAATCAATTTGGGTAAATATCAAGAAGCATGATTTCTGGATTACAGGATAAAAGGAAGTTTAATTCTGTAAAAAACCACTAAACTGTCTTCCAAAGTGGCTGTACCATTTTGCATTCCTGCCAGCGATAAATGAGAGTTCCTGTTGCTCCACATCCTCACCAGCATTAGCTATTGTCAATGTTCTGGATTCTGGCCATTCCAATAGGTGCATAGTGGTATCTCATTGTTTTAATTTGCAATTCTCTAATGACATAAGATGTTGAACAGTTTCATATGCTTACTTGTCATCTGTATATTTTCTTTGGTGCAGTGGTTATTCATATTCAAGTATTTTGTCCATTTTAAAATTTTTTTTCTTTTTTTCTTCCTTTTTTTTTTTTTTTTTTTTTTGAGATGGAGTCTCCCTCTGTCACCCAGGCTGGAGTGCAGTGGTGCGATCTCAGCTCACTGCAACCTCTGCCTCCTGGGTTCAAGCAATTCTCCTGCCTCAGCCTCCCGGGTAGCTGGGGCTACCAGTGCACACCACTACGCCCAGCTAGTTTTTTTGTATTTTTAGTAGAGACGGGGTTTCACCATATTGGCCAGCCTGGTCTCGTACTCCTGACCTCATGATCCACCCACCTCAGCCTCCCAGAGTGCTGGGATTACAGGAGTGAGCCATTGTGCCTGGCCTATTTCCTATTTTTAAAATTGTTTTTGTAGAGACAGGGTCTCCCAATATTTCCCAGGCTGGTCTCAAACTCCTGGGCTTAAGTGATCCTCCACCTCGGCCTCCCAAAGCGCTGCGATTATAGGCGTGAACCACCACGTCCAGCTCTATTTTGCCTATTTTTTAAATAATAGTGTTTGTTTGCTTACTTTTAAGTTTTATCAATCAATATATCTTGTATAAATAGATTGTCTCTGGTGTGTTCTACAATAGTGAAATCTCCTTCTTATTCCTCCTGCTTTAACAACTGTGTAGAAGGAAAAAAAAACAATGAATAAAGATAAAACATGTAGCATGTCATGTGAAATAGTCAATCCAAAGCATTTGCTGACATTTGCAGAGGACATATTAGTAAATATCAGGTACAATGACTCTGAATAACAACAATAATACTATTATTAACAATAATGGCAGCTATTGCTATTTATTGAACCATTATCTTATGCTAGGCATCATACCAGTGGCTTCTTATACATTAACTCACAAAGCCCTAGTAAGTAAATGTAATTATCCCTACTTTTTATTGAGACTATTAAGATTTTGGAATTCAGTTACTTTCCTGAGGTCACATATTTAGAAAGCAGAAGAACTTATATTCTAGTATTGGTTTGTCTTGCCTCAAACACACATATTTTTCACTCTACTGCCTAGTCAAGTGTTGAATTCTGTTATCTAGATTATAGACGACACACGAGTGCAGAGCTTTTAGCAGCCACATTCTCCACCTGCTCCTAATTATTCAGAGAACCATTTGAAAGATACACATAATGCCTTTCCTCAAATCAACTCCTAAGCTCCCTGTTATTAACTTCTTGCACGTTAGCTTTTCTCTGTTCATTCCCAGACCTCTATCTTATTTTTCATTCTCTGTTTAAGTTTTCTGCTTAGGCCTTGGGTGTGATGCATACCCTCATATTTCCTGTGGCATCTGTGGCAGAAGCAGTGATATTCCAGCAGCAGCATTCAGCTAAATATTTAATCAGATTAGGTACAAAACCACTATCCAAAATGCATGTGTTCTCAGGCTTAGATTGTCATTCTAAAGAGGCACAGGTCACTAGACATACTGGATTTAAACTCCAGCCTTTCGTCTTCCCTCATTATGAAGTGAATACGCATGCAATTATTTTTTGTGAATATACAGAACTTTTTGGAAGTTGGGAAGCATCCTCTACCATACTTATATTGTACTTCTTTGTATCACACCTTTCACCTTCCCCACTCACAGGAGATCTCCCAATTTTGATGATAATTATTTTATATATTTCCCTTCTACCAATGTCTCCCTAAAATTAATGTTTTACTTTTGCTTACTTTCAAACTATACATAAATGGAGTATGCCATTATACTCCTTTATAACTCACTTTCTTCGCTCAATAGTTTGTGATCCACAATTGTGTTACTCTATATAACCTTGGTTTATTTTGAAAATGTATTTGTATTTATTGATTCTACTATTGATCTATTAAAAACAAAGTTATTAATATTCTTGAGTGTATATTCCAGTACAAATGGATGACTTTCTCTAAGATACAGTTGTTCCATTTCAGCACTATAAAATCTTTGACGGGATAACTTTTGTTGGCATGTGTGGGAGGGTGTTGCTCTGTGCTTTACAGGATGTTTAGTAACATCCCTGGCCTATACTCACTAGGTGCCAGAAACTCAGCCCCTCTCTGATTTTGGGTTGTCTCCCAATTGTGAAGACAACCAAAAATGTCTTCACACATTTCTATATGTCTTTTGAGGGATAAAAGTGCCCCCAGTTGAGAACTACTGTCACAAAAACATGAAAAACCCATGGAGAATTGTCACCTAATGCTTCATCTTAATGTTTTCATCCTCATCCTTGGTGACCTCTGAAGTAGGCACTGGAGAATAAGTCTTCTAGGGAACATGGGACAGGGAGTTGGAGAGGTTTTTGTTTTTATTAATTTTGCTGACCAGTTAGTTCAGAATTCTCACCACGTAGATTTGTGGCCAGTTGTACCTGCTGACCCCTTGTGGTTGAGTGAGGTGTATGACTAGTTATGGCCATGAGTGCAAGAAAAACACGTCTTCCCTGAGCTAGAGCATTTAATTGCTGGTGCCAAACACAACCCCCGTCCGACTTCTTTTCCTCATCTCGATTAGTGTCCCGCAACATTCAAAATGGTAGCTGATTTGTCTGCTTAGGTTGCTAAGAGACTACTATGAGTCAAATACTCCCACCAACACCCAATAGTCATACATGACGTGCGAGAAAGAAATCTTCGCATTAAACAACTAAGATTTCGATGATCACTTTTTATAGAAACTGTTACAGAGCATGTTATGAAAACTGGTACGTAGAATTAGGGTAGCATCATAATTTTTTAAAAAGAAACCTAAAATATATGACTGAATGAAAGCAGAAAGAAAACTGTTATGGAGAGCTGAAAACATGATGATCCACGTTTTACAGAGGCAAAATATTTGACAATATTTTTGCTTGCGGTGAGTTGAAAAGCAGGTAATATATATAGTACATATTATGATTTTAGGGTTAGAGTTTGGAAAAATAATGGCAATAGCATATTGGCTTCTATTTGATTGCATTTGCTATGGTTCCTCTAAGAAAAAGCAAATCTCGCATTTGCAATTAGGAATTAGTGAGAATACAAAGAGTTCGGGAATTTGGGGGCTTAGAGAGCTGGACATAGCAACTTCTCAATACTAAGAGTAAAATATAGGTTGGAGAAGTGTTCTGAGCAAGAGAGGCCAACTAGAGCTCAGCATAATGGCAAATATAACATCTAAGTTATATTCAGACACCCATGGTTAAAATCTCTGAATGGTTTGAAATTCGGAGGAAATCTTAACAGTAGAAAAAAATTTCCCAAGGTTAAGGATATTGCTTTCCCACCACACTGATTAGCTTAGAATATCCACACTAAATTCAGAGAAAAGGCATATGTGGAAAAGATATATGCATATGATAAGAACATATTAAACTATTCAAGATCAAAGGGGTAAGAAGCTAAGTTTTTGAAGCCAGGTTTTGAAGAATCTGTCTGCCAAAGACACAGTGTACCTGAACTAAAAATGTTTTTGACTGTATGTACAAAAATTCTTAGGACCTAAGCCTTTTACAAACAAGAAACATTTCCCCAGCTCCCTGTTCCTTGTTCCCTGGGGGACTTACTCTCCAATGCCTATGTCAGATGTGGCCAAGGATTAGCACAAAAACAGAAGTGTTAGAAGACAACTCTCCATAGGCTTCTCATGTTTCTTTCCGTCTTGCTAGTGGAGGCACTAACTGACTTTGTTTTGGACCATCTTAGCAAAGATATTTGTATAGCAAACAGCTTTGGAACATCAAAATAATGTCTCTTCAGGCAAAAGTCATGAATGTTTTCTGTCCAGTACAATAAATATAACATCTTCCTCTGGATCAGACTTTCTTACTGCCCATTATCAAAGACTTGAGTTCCCTAAATTCATGGTTCTGCTTCTGTAATACATCATGCTGTGTGCGCAGGAGTCAGCTGTCCCTATTTGTATCACTCTGTGGGAATGAGGACTCCAGGAACAGGAACAGGAAAATGCTGATATTCTGCCTAGTGCTATTGCTGCGAATAATAAGTTCTTTGTGTCTATCTCAGAATTCTCATGTTTTCTGCCAGCATCTATGAAACTGTGGCAGACTAACTTATTAGTCTACAAGTATGGTACAATCTCAGACCCTTCACAGCAACATACACACACACACACACACACACACACACACACACACACACACACAAAGGAACTAGGAAATTTCTTGAAGAGAATGAAATTCAGTCCTAAAAAAGTTTTTGCTAACTACTAATCTCCGGGTAGGGAGGTCTTTGAAATGTCTGCCCAACAAAATTTTGGAATTGAGACAGACATGAATTTTTTGTGTTCTCTATTACTCTTTTCTAAATAGCAGTCCTTAGTACTATTACACTTTCCCTAAACCACAATTGTATATTGCAACTGTGGAGAATATACAACTTATGTTTTTAGTTTAATAGGATTCATACCTAATTGAAGTTATAACCTATCATACCTCACCCAGATATAATGGTGCTTGAGTTTGTTGATATAGCTGAATAGATTATTTAAAGGGAGTATATTTTGTCAGTGAGAGGGGAAGTATATCAAATATTTGGTGACCAGAAAGGAGACCGTGATAGACTTACCAAGTGTCTACATTTATCCCAGTGAGCCTGTAGTCCTATTTTGGTACATTGTTCTATTTGTATTCCTTTATAATTCCACTTTATCATAATTATTATAGCTTTATTGAAAGTCTTGAAATATAATAAATTCTTCCATTTTTTTCTTCAAATACATCTTGATAGCAAGGTCCTTTTTACTTGCATGTAACTGTTAAAATTCAGATTATCAATTTAAGTACATGCACACTCACAAACAGGCACATGAACACATCCACTGTCAGGATTTTTATTGGGATGGTTTTCTATCTATAGACCAATTTTAGAGAACTGCCATGGTTACACTATTGGAATTTGTGGCCCAGAAATATTGTATAATCCTCCATTTATTTAGGTCTTATTTACTGATCCTCAATTATTTTATATGTTCCCATAAAAACATTCTTCATAAAACATATTTTTAAAAATCTTGCTTAAATTTATCTTGATATCTCTATTTTGATACTATTAGAAATCAGATCATTCCATTTCTGTCTGTTATTTTATGTAGAAACATACTAGTATCTTTAATCTGTTGATTTAAGGTTCTTCAGAAACTTCTTTACGTAAAACAACATTTAACCATAGTAGGGTTTAGATATTTTTCATACCTGACATATATTAATGACTTGTTATTGTTTTCTAATTTCTTTACTTTCATTTATTTTTCATGTTTTATTCTACCTGGGCGTCACTTAAAAATATTAAGTGGAAAATGTTTTCAGTTGCAACAGTAAGACAGATTATATTGTATATTGTCTATTTTCTCAAAGGGGGTACTGTCAATATGTCACCATTAGGTAAGATAACTGTCATCTTTTTTTTTTTTTTTTTTGGGGGGGGGACGGAATGTCACTCTGTTGCCCAGGCTGGAGTGCATTGGTGCTATCTTGGCTCACTGCAAGCTCAGCCTCCTGGGTTCACGCCATTCTCCTGCCTCAGCCTCTCCAGTAGCTGGGACTACAGGCGCCCGCACCACGCCCGGCTAATTTTTTGTATTTTTAGTAGGGATGGGGTTTCACCGTGTTAGCCAGGATGGTCTCGATCTCCTGACCTCGTGATCCGTCCGCCTCGGCCTCCCAAAGTGCTGGGATTACAGGCGTGAGCCACTGCGCCGGGCCAATTTTTTTGTATTTTTAGTAGAGACGGGGGTTTCACCATGTTGGCCAGGCTGGTCTTGAACTCCTGACCTCAGGTGATCCACCTACTTCGGCCTCCCAAAGTGCTGGGATTACAGGCGTGAGCCACCACAACCTGCCTCATCTATTTTTATATTGCAAGTTATTACCTCCCAATTGCAGAAGTAGATGCCTTTGACTTTATGTTAACAAAGTATAATGTAGTTAATTAATTAGTTAAAATTGATTAAAATAGTATAGAAATATTCTCAGGCTACAGCTATATTTTGAAAACCACCTTTAGCACAGCTCCCTGACAAACTTTCTCTGATAGAAAGTTCTATACTATGCTGTTTATACTATGGCTATTGAGCCCTAAAATGTGTCTAGTGCAACTATGGAACCAAGTTTTTATTTTATGTAAGTTTAATTAATTTAATTTAAATAGCCATATGTAGCCATCGGTTTCTATCTCATGGATGTCACAGACATAGAGAAATTTTCTCAACCAAACAGTGGCTGTATCTAGCACAAACTTACAACGAACAGTGTCAAGATTTAAGAGAATAAAGAGTTAAAAAAAACAAGAAAACTTTTTAAAATATCTTTACTTTTCTCATATAAATTTCCAAAATTTTAATCATTGCAAAAGCAGAAGAGAGAAATCTATTGTTATCCTCAAAAGAGTGAGATATTGTTCATCTCCATGTTACACTGAGAACCCCAAAATTCTTCTCTTCTTAAGTGATATTTTTGTGGCCATGCCTGTACTTAACATAAAATGTTTCTGCTTTGCACATACCTCATTAGAAAAATTCTTGGCCGGACACGGTGGCTCAAGCCTGTAATCCCAGCACTTTGGGAGGCCAAGGCAGGCGGCTCATGAAGTCAAGAGATCGAGACCATTCTGGCCAACTTGGTGAAACCCCATCTCTACTAAAAATACAAAACTTAGCTGGGCCTGGTGGGCATGCCCCTGTAGTCCCAGCTACTCAGGAGGCTGAGGCAGAAGAATTGCTGGAACCCGGGAGGCGGAGGTTGCAGTGAGCTGAGATCGCACCACTGCACTCCAGCCTGGTGACAGAGTGAGACTCCATCATCTCAAAAAAAAAAAAAAAAAAAAAAAAAAAGAAAAATCCTTCAGCATTTTGGTTGACTACTAAGGAATCTGATAAGCTCACCTGCTCAAGAGTATTAATAGTTTCTGTGGTTTAAGAGAAAGTTCCTCCAAACCTATTTATATAGCTTAGAACTTCCAGAAATCTTACCTTGTAAAAGCAATGAACTTCAAATAGCCTTCTGCCAAGGAAAATGTCCTTATGAAAGACCAATCATTCACAACGCTATAATAAACCATATGTTGAGAAAGGCCCTGAGGATTGGAAGAAAATAAAGAGTACTTGAAGCAAAACTACATGTGCTTGCTAATATCCAACATTCAATGAGGCTTGCTGCTCACTGACTTCTGTTGAAAAGGGGGATGTGGTGGGATAACCACAAGATTAAGGCTAGCATGGATATTGATGACCAAACATTCACTCATCTCTGGTTCTCAAGTATGGTTTCTAGTGTGTGTTTTGATTCTCCGTGATGTTTGCACCCCATTAAGTTCTCATTTTGGTCTTCTACTTAACAAGATTAACTTAATGGATCATATCTTTCACTTATTAAAATCATTTTTATTAAAATATGATTTACTATCTGGCTTTTTGTCTGCCACTTGCTAGGATGGAAATGGAGCTTTAAGCTGTTCATCAAACAAACGTATGAGAAAAATACTTCAAAGAAATTTTGTGGGCTGTTGGAATTTGGCATTTTGGGCATGAACATAAAGAAACCTCTTAATCCAACTGAGCTTTCTTTGAAAGGTTGTGTAATATAATTTGATGAGATCATTCAATCTCCTTTTAGTTGTCCTCACCACATCTATCCACTTGTAGAATATTAACCTTTTATGTGAGGTGAGAACAGATTTACCAAATATAGCCTATCTCTATAGAGATACCAAATATAGCCTAACTTCAGGAAAAAAAGGACAAAGAAATCCAGAAGCTATTTCTATAACGGTAGTTATTCATTTGTATAAGTTAATTGAGAAATTAAAATCAGAAGCCACGATACTGTCAAGATTTTAACCCACTTTGACAGCAGTGTTTCTATCTCTGCACTTGGTACCGTTTTACTGCCTGAGAGATTAGAGAAGACAGAGGATATTGTAATGCCCTTGAAATATTTTGACTACATCTTGAATTCCAGATATCTTTAATGACTTGGTTGGATGATTCTTAAAAAGCAATGATTTTATTTCCTTCATAAATTAAAAGAAAATCACATTAAGTAGAGAGTGAGGCAAGAAGAGAAGGAAGTTGTTTGACTTTTTAAAAGCAGTTTGGAAAGAGAAATGGGTGTCTGCTGACATCAAAGCAACAGCTAGGCCTTCATTCACTACTTCTAATTATATTCCCTATGCCAAAATCAGACAAGCTCAGACATTATGATGAACTGAGATTTAAAACATTAGGAGAAAAAAAACTGGTTGAACTCATAATTAAAGCCAAGACTTGTTGTTTGCAACTGGAAATCTCCCACTACGAGTTTTAAAATTTGCAATATAAGCAAACTGAGTTTATTAATTATTGCAGCAATAGGAAACTCTACACAGATAATTCTGGAAAGGTTTCATTGGAGAGTAAATTAGCAGGTTTTTTATTTGTTTGTTTCCTGTTGATGGTTTGGGCTCAGAGTGCCTCAGGCAGAATTATAGAACTAGGATGTGACCCTGAGTTGCTTCAATTATTAAGGTGAGAATCTGTGAAATAGAGAAGTTCTGAGTAAAGAAGAAAACATTATGTGAGTCACAAAACATTCTGCAATTGCAATCCCATAATTGATGGATTTATGCTACCAGTTCTCAGTCTTTCCTAACTGATGAGAAGATGAGAAGAGTCGTTCAGCTACTAAAGCAGCCATGTTCAGATGTATACCACTGTTGTGATTTCTAGATAACATTATCATCCTCAGAAAAAATAGTTTGGGATTGGATCATGGACTGATCTTCCTATTCCTTTTATGGAGTGATGAGTTCATTTCCGTTGAGTGATGGATCATTTGACACGAGAGCAGCTGCAGAGCAGGACTGAGACTGTGGAGAATACATGCATAAGAATGGCAACACACAGTGACTATATCAAAATGACATGGAGCCTTCCCAAAACACTTAGTGCCATAATCTGAATTACTAAACCCGGGCAAAGAAAAATCCATTTGCATCTGCCTTAGAGAGCCAGGTGACTGTTTCCTTAAGTCTAAAGATGGCTTGTTTTACATTGACACTGATAGTTATTCAAGTGTATTGGTCAGCTCAGACTTCCATAACAAAATGTCACAGATCTGGTGGCATAAGCAACAAAAATTTATTTCCTCACAGTTCTGGGGACTAGAAGTTCAAGATCGATATGCTAGCAGGGTTGATTTCTGGTGCAACCTCTGTGATTTGTAGATGTCTCTCTTTGTGTTACGTCCTCATATGACTTTCCTCTGGGCATGGGTTGAGAGAAAAAAAAATCCCTGATGTTGATTCCTCCTCTTAGAAGGACGCTAATCTTATCAGATTAGGGCCCCATCATTATGACTTTATTTAACCTTAATCACTTCCTTAAAGACTCTATCCCCATATATAGTCATACTGAGGTTCAGGTACTTGAGCTATTTTCTGTGTAAATATAATTTTTTTTGTCTTTGGCCAAGTGACCAGCTCTAATGAGGGCAATCAAATCTACCATCTGGGCTATGTTAAGCTCCTTTAGTGAAGATATCCTAAGGGTGAACTGAGATCTATTATAGCAGAACCAGCCTGCTAATTTCCCGAATTTCTCTATGCCCACATAGCTACTTCATAATATTGTCTGTAAGTGCTAAAAATTTATCTCTAAAATATCCACTTGGTACAGCCTTTTATGTCTGCAAGTCTAATTAATAGTTATCTGGAAACTTAACATGTATAACCATCAGCAAAGATTTTTCCATATCATGCGCTTTTTAAGTTTCTATTCTGTTAATGATACCTCAGGAATAGCTACATTATTTCAGGTATTTTATTTTTTTTTTTATTTTTTGCTGAACCAGACTTCAGAAATAGAAGGACCTCTCAACATGGTATTAATTGATATTGGTCAAATAAATTGAGATTATGGATTCCCAGGACTGCTCAAATTTATCAGTACATTTATGCCTATCCCATAGAGATTCAGAGAAATTTCAACAATTGCCTCTAACACAGACCAAGATAGTATCTTCTGCCTACTAGGGCTAATGTCCTTGTTTGGCAGTCCAATTTTTAAGAAAATGTCAATTTGAGGCCCAGCATGGTGGCACATGCCTATAATCCCAGCAGTTTGAGAGGCTGAGGCAGGTGGATTGCTTGAACCTGGGAGTTTGAGACAAACCTGGACAACACAGTGAGACTCTCATTTCTACAAAAAATACTAAAATTAGCCATGTGTGGTGGTACATGCCTGCAGTCCTAGCTACACAGGAGGCTGAAGGAGGATGATCACCTGAGCCCAGGAGGTTGACACTGCAGTAAGCTGTGATCCCTGCCATTGCATTCAAGCTTGGGTAACAGAGTGCAACCCAGAAAAAGAGAAGAGAAGAGAGAAGAAAAAATAAAAGAAAAGAAAGGGAAAGGGAAAGAGGGAAGGAAGGAAGGAAGGAAGGAAGGAAGGAAGGAAGGAAGGAAGGAAGGAAGGAAAAGAAAAAGAAAAAGAAAAAAGAAGAAAAGCAAGTGGTTATTTTCAGATACAATCAGAGGGGGAAGACGATGGTTAGAAAAAGAAATTTGGGAGAAAAAGAGTAAAATTTGATAGTGTGGTAGCACAAAAAGCAAGAAAAGATACTGTGGGATAAAGAAAATGTTAAAAGAAAGAAGAATTTGGCAAATTAATAAATGAGACAGTCTCTAGAGTTTTATGTTTTTTTTTAATTAGCCATGGCCAAAGACTTCATTGTTATAGGTATTTTGGAATCAGAAGTCTATTTAGAATCTTCATAGACCATTTTAAAAAGGCTTAGCACTTAATAATAAGGATGTTTCCCCTCCACTTACTTCTAAGATAAACATTTTTACTCATACTGAAAATTTTCAAAGGGTCCAGTATGATTCCAAATATTATTGATGTAACTGTGACACATGGTAAGATATTTAAATAATTTTTGTTATATTAAGAATACATATCTGGAACAGGTGTCTAGCCTGCTAGAGACATGACTTAGACCAAAAATTTTAAAACGCCCTAAAAGTGTATAACATTCTGTTCAATGTATTCCTTCTGCACTTTATTAGGCATGACCCCTGACTAGAGAGTTTGACATCTGTAGCCTGCGTTCTAACTATCCATGGGCCTGAGAATATAGATTTTTGGGGGATTTTGCTTCCCAAATCAACTCTTAGGAACACAAAGGCAGGATACAATCAACAGAACTCACATAAGTTTTTTGGATAGTGACCTAGAGCAAAGTTTATCTACTAAAAGACACTAACGTGATAAAAATTGAAACTTGTTAGGACTTACGGATGGTTTTAGTTGCAGATTTATTGAGAATCTCACTCGATTAATCATTCTAGAGGTTTTCTTTTTCATTTTTAGGAAAACATTTTTGACAAAACAGAACAAGACAAACGTGAGATTAGGTGAAGAATGGAATGTCACCAAGAATTTTTAAACATATAATTCTAATGAGAAAAAGTATTCTGAAAGTTAAACTTTAGGTTTACAGGAACAAAATAAAACTAATGGTTTGAGAATTTTAATGTATTTGAGACTCAAACTCACCTTGGGTCAGGATGGTCAAGCACAAGAGATTAAATGTCCTCAAGAGACTCTCCTAGAAGTCGTCTGTTTAAATGGTCCTAGCCCGTGTCATGAATATTCACTGCTGACTCTCAATGCTTCTCCAAATTATAAAAATCCCCTTTCTCAAGTGAAGTATCCCATTATGCTACAATCACACTGAGTTTAATTCGATTTCTATAGCAATGAAAAGCACCACACAGGTAACTGTGAAATGGTATCATGTTAAGGGAAATGAGTATACAGTTTTTCTTGCTTATGGGTTCCTCAAAATTTCTTCAAGTATTGCTTGATTTCTTAAGATGAGATTGTTTCCAAGTAAGGAAAGGGTCTAACAGAAGAAGGTTTTAGGCAAGCCACAGGTGTTTTGTGGTTGTGATTGCAGAGCTAATGATCACACTTCTTCAGTCTTGCATCACTGGTGAGGATGTTTGCTTTGGTACCCAACACAAATAAGGTATACTGAGAGCTGGCCAAATGAAAAACAGTTACCAAAACTTAAAAGGAGAGAAGGAAATTAATAAAGAGATGAAGTTGGAGAGAAAGAGAAAAAATAAGAGAAGGGGAAGAAAGAAGTAAGGAGAAAAGAAAAATAATGGAAAGAGATTTTTCAAATCCACTGAAATGGTAATCTAGAGAAAAACAGTAGCAGAGTATTATTTAAAAGATAAGAGAAAAACACAAGAAGTTCAGAAACACTGAGGAATTCAAGCTGCATAGAAATCTAGAGGGGAGACCATTAACTTCTAAATATACACGGCTTTTCTCAACATTCATTGCTTTGAAGAATTCTGCACGCACTCTGACTGCCACCCTTGCCTTTTTTTCTTACTTAACCCACAATCAATAGAAAAGCAAAGAAAATTAGAAGAAGGTGGAAAAATATAGGAAAAGAAAAGAAGTATATGTAAAAGATAAAATGGAGCTATCCTTAGGAAAATGCCTTGGAGAAAAGGAAGAGGAGAATTAGAATATCTTGGAAAGGATGGGAGTAGGCTGGTGGCTGTTGTTTCAATTTAGAGGTTTTGTTTGCTTTTTTATTTATAAATGAGCATATTATCAGATTTTTTGCATTTTTCCTAAAGCGAGTTTATTTGCTTTATAATTAACTTTTTTGGAAACAAAAGTAAACAAGCAGAAGTACTTTAAAATCTCTAGGATTGTTCGGCTAGGAAAAAAAGTGAACAAAAGGCAGGAGGAGAGAGATGACATTTGTTTTGGCCAACATGTACTGGGTACTTTGCTTAACACTACATATATATACACACATATTATCTTGTTTATTTTTATAAGACTACTACTAAGTAGTTACACATTTTTGTGTACATTACACGCAGACAAGTGCATAAGTCTTGAGTGTTCACTAGGTGATCATATCTATTTAACTATCACCTGGATCAAAGAACAAAATATAATCAGCATCGTAGGCCTCATTTCAAATTTCTGTCTTTGACTTATAACAATAAACACATAATATTAGTTGATTTCAAAGATGAGGAACCTGAGACTTAAAGATAATATGGCCAGGTGTGGTGGCTCACACCTGTAATCCAAGCACTTTGGGAGGCCGAGGTGGGTGGATCATGAGGTCAGTAGTTCAAGACCAGCCTGGCCAACATGGTGAAACCCCGTCTCTACTTTAAAAAAAAAAAAAAATTAGCCAGGTGCAGTGACAAGCATCTGTAATCCCAGCTACTCGGGAGGCTGAGGCAGGAGAATCACTTGAACCTGGGAGGCAGAGGTTGCAGTCAGCCAAGATTGTGCCACTGCACTCCAGCCTGGGAGACAGAGTGAGACTCATTCTCAAAAAAGAAAAAGAAAAAAGATAATATAAGACCACATCATTATTATGCAAGATATTCAAATAATGGAGAGCATTGTAATCATATTTTATGTTCTTCTACGATCTGGCCAATGACTACCTTCTGTCCAACTTTATTTGCTCAAAAATGCTTACTGTTTTTCAATAAAAGCAGGCAAGCTCTTGCCTAGAATCTTTCTAATTGAGTTTATTTCTACCCAGACCATATTGAGATATTTGTGTGGCTTACTTTTCTCACACAGGTTTTGAGCAATTGCTGTCTCCTCAGAGACCACTGTTTATAAAACTGTTGCTCTTGGCCTATCTTCTAAAACTGATTTTTCTTTCTCTATGTTACTTATCACTTCCTATACTATATGATATACTTACATGTTTACTGTTTATTATCTGCTACCTCACTAGAATGTAAAGTTTAGGTCATCAGTCTTGTTATTGGTCTAGCAATACATAGAATGTTGTCTGATGCAGAGCAGATGGCTCTGTAAGTATTGGCTAATTGAATTATTAAGAAGAACAGTGGCAGCCACAATCAAAGTCAAGGCAAATAAGAGAAAATAATGAGAAATTGCTTATAACATTTTTGTCTCTCTCTAATCAATTAGCCAAATTCAAGAATGGGTTCTAATAGTCATTTTTTTTTTTTTTTCTTGAGACGGAGTTTCACTTTCACTCTTGTTGCCCAGGCTGGAGTACAGTGGTGTGATTTCGGCTCACCACAACCTCTGCCTCCCGGGTTCAAGAGATTCTCCTGCCTCAGCCTCCTGAGTAGCTGGGATTACAGGTATGCACCACCACGCCTGGCTAATTTTGTATTTTTAGTAGAGACGGGGTTTCTCCATGTTGGTCAGGCTCGTTTCGAACTCCCGACCTCAGGTGATCTGCCTGCTTCGGCCTCCCAAAGTGTTGGGATTACAGGCATAAGCCACCACGCCCGCGACAGTCACTTTTAAAATTTCAACTTAATATGATCTCAAAGCTAAAAGGGCAACAAAAATGTATGCATAAGCTACCTCAGAAGAAAGCAAACATAATAGCATTCTTTGTTTGAAAGAATATATAATTAGTACCCACAATGTTGTTCTTACCATACATTATTATAAAAATGGCAGAAATCAAGAGAAGTGTAAAGGAAGTCTTCAGGAAATAACAAAGTAAAACAAGCACACTTGTAAGCCTGGAAAGATATCACTTAGGTTAATATTACGTGTCACAATGCTTTGTCCTGTTGGAAAGCAATCATCACATCAAGGGAAAAATTATGAGGAAATACACAATTGCATATACCCTATTTGAAAATCTAATTTAAACTTTCACTTCAGTGAGGAAGATTGAGTTCAGAGTCAGCAAAAATCTCTGTCCTCACTGGCCTCTCAAGGCACTGCACCCTGCCAGCTATCTAGTTCAAATATCCTCATTGTGGAAGGTCATGACCAGCAGTGGTAATATCACTCACAGATGGCAATGGTGAAGGATGCCTTCAGAAAATCAATATATTGAGAACACAGAAGAAAAGGTGGAGACGTGAGGAAAGAGACTAACATTGACTTTTGTATTTCTCTCCTTCTTTTGGCCCTTTTATTTATGTCTGCCCTCAGGGTATATTTTTAGCTCCATTTTGGGGAAAATTTACTTGAGGGGTATCACCTGACTTTCCAAGAATGACCAGTAACTGAGAAGAAAAGAAAAATTTCCAGTGCCAGTGTCAGATAGTGACTTGCACCTCTCCCTGAAGCAACTGTCTTTAACCCTGAATTCCAAAAACAAATGCCTCAACTTGCTTCTGTGTTGGTATTATTAATAGACTATTTTTTTCAAGTTTTAGATTCCCAGAGAAATTGTGCAGAACTGCAGATTTCCACTGTGCCCCTCATACATTATTTTTCCTATTATTAAAATTAGACACTTGAGTGGTAGATTTGTAAACATTAACAGACTGATATTTATACATGAGTGGTACATTTGTAAACATCAACAGACTGATATTTATATATTATAATTAATTAAAGTGTATAGTTTATTCAGATTTCTTTAGTTTTTACCTAATTTCCTTTTTCTCTTCCAGGATCCCATCCAGGATATCACATTGCACTTGGTAATCATGTCGCCTTAGGCTCCTCAGCACTGTGACAGCTTCTCATACTTTGTTATTGATGGCTCTCACAGTTTTGAAGAGTACTTGTAAGGTATACTGTAGATATCCTGCTAATACAGTTTGTCTGACATTTTTCTCAGGATTACACTGGAGTTATGTGTTTTAGAAGTAAGACTACAGAGATAAAGTGCTATTTACATCCTATAATATCAAGGGTACATACTATCAATATGGTTTATGAGTATAGATGTTGACCTGGATCACCTGGCTGAACTAGTATTTGCCAGATTTCTCTACTATAAAGTTACTCTTTTATTTCTTTTCTATACTGTACTCTGAAATGCACAGGCCACACCTAAAAGACGAGGAGTTATGCTTCCTATCTTCTAGGCTATGGTATGTACATAATTAATTTAAAATATTTCTGCATCAGAGATTTCTTCCTTCACCATTTATAATTCATTGATTGACACCAATATCCTTTGTCTATATTCAGTAACAATTACTGTATACTTTTAAATTGATTGAAGTTTAATATAACAAGAATAAATAAATATATAGCTGAACTCAAAAAAGAGAGAGAGAGAGTGACAAAGCCCAGTTTCCAGAAACAAAAAGATGAAAGAAAAAAATGTCCTTTAACATATAAAGGAAGTTCCCTTCTATTTCTAGTTTTCTGGATGTTTTTATCATGGAAAGGTGTTGAATTCTGGCAGATGCCTATTGTCAATTGAGATGATCATATTTTGTTCATTTATGTTTTCCTTCATTCTATTAATGTAGAGTTATTACACTGATGTTCTTATATTGACTAACCCTTGAATCTTGGAATAAATCCCACTAGGTCATGGTGTATAATCCTTTTACTACACTATTGGGTCCAGGTTGACAGTATTTCATTGAAGGCTTTTGTATCTACATTCATAAAGAATATTGTCCGGCAATTTTCTTGTGATGTCTTATCTGGCTTTAATATCAGGCTAATGTTAGGCTAATAGTATGAGTTGGAAAATGTTCCTTCCTCTTCTGTAATTTTAAGCTTTTCAGAAGGATTGGTGTTCATTTTTTATTAAATGTTTGGAATGGTTGATAAAATGTACCCGTGAAGCTATCTGAATTTTTTTGTTGTTGAGACGTTTTTAATTACTGATTCAATCTACTTGCTTATTATAGATCTGTTGTGATTTTCTAATTCCTCTTGAGCGAAATTAAGTAATTTATATGTCTAGAAAGGTGCCCATTTCATTTTGGTTATATAATTTGTTAGCATACAACTTTTATAGTAGTGTAATAATTTTTATTACTTTAAGGTCAATAATATTTCCACTTTCATTTCTGGTTTATTTGTGTCTTCTCTCTTTGTTCTTTATTACCCTAGCTAAAGGTTTCTTAATTTTATTAATCTTTTAAAATAATCAAATTTTGGTTTTGTTGATTCTCCCTATTATTTTTCTATATTCTACTTAATTTATCTTTGTTGTATTCTTTATTATTTCCTTTCTTCTGCTATCTATCTTTTGGCTTGTTTATGCCTCTTTTCTAATTCCTCAGAATGTAGAGCTAGGCTATTGCTTTTAGATCTGATTTCTTTTTCGATGTAGGGATTTATAGCTATAAATTTTATTCCTTGCACTTTCTTAGCTGCATTCCCTAAATTGTGGTATGTTGTGTTATCATTTTTATTCATTTTGAAAAATTGACTTATTTAATATGTGATTACCTCTTTGACCCTTTTTTTTGTTTGTTTAAGAGTTTGTTGTTTAATTTACGTGTTTGTGAATTTTCTGGTTTTCTTTCCGATATCAATTTGTAGATTCATTTCATTGTGCTCATAAAAGATACTTTGTGAGGATTCCTGGTCAAGATGGCTGAATAGGAGCAGCTCCAGTCTACAGCTCCCGGCAAGATCAACACAGAAGGTGGGTGATTTCTGCATTCCCAACTTAGGTACCCTGCTCATCTCATTAGGACTGGTTAGACAGTGGGTGCAGCCCACGGAGGATGAGCCAAAGCAGGGTGGGGCATTGCCTCACCCTGGAAGTGCAAGGGGTTGGGGAACTCCATCCCCTAACCAAGGGAAGCCGTGAGGGACTTTGCCATTCCAGGCCAGATACTACACTTTTCCCATGGCTCCACAAACCACAGACCAGGAGATTCCCTTGGGTGCCTATACCACCAGGGCCCTGGGTTTCAAGCACAAAACTGGGCAGCTGTTTGGACAGACACTGAGCTAGCTGCAGGAATTTTTTTTAATACCCCAGTGGTGCCTGGAACACCAATGAGACAGAACCTTTCATTCCCTTGGAAAAGGGTCTGAAACCAGGGAGCCAAGTGGTCTAGCTCAGCAGATCCCACCCCCACAGAGCCCTTCAAACTAAGATCCATTGGCTTGACATTCTCGCTGCCAGCACATCAGTCTGAAGTCGACCTGCAATGCTCTAGCTTAGTGGGAGGAGGGGGGTCCACCATTACTGAGGCTTGAGTAGGTGGTTTTCCCCTCACAGTGTAAACAAAGCCACCAGAATTTCAAACTGGGTGGAGCCCACCACAGCTTGGCAAATGCACTGTAGCCAGACTGCCTCTCTAGATTCCTCCTCTCTGGGCAGGGAATCTCTGAAAGAAAGGCAGCGGCCTCAGTCAGGGGCTTATAGATCAAACTTCCATCTCCCTGGGACAGAGCACTTGGCAGAAGGGACGGTGGTGGGTGCAGCTTCAGCAGACTTAAACATTCCTGCCTGCCGGCTCTGAAGAGAGCAGATCTCCCAGCACCGCACTCGAGCTCTGCTAACGGACAGACTGCCTCCTCAGATGGGTCCCTGACCCCCGTGCCTCTTGACTAAGAGACACCTCCCAGCAGGGGTCGACAGACACCTCATACAGGAGAGCTCTGACTAGCATCTGGCAGGTACTCCTCCGGGATCAAGCTTCCAGAGGAAGGAACAAGCAGCAATATTTCTTGTTCTGCAATCTCAACTGGTGATACACAGGCAAACAGGGCCTGGAGTGGACCTCCAGCAAATTCCAGCAGACCTGCAGCAGAGAGGCCTGACTGTTAGAAGGAAAACTAACAAACAGAAAGGAATAGCATCATCATCAACAAAAAAAGGGCGTTCACACATAAACCACATCCAAAAGTCACCAACATCAATGAACAAAGGTAGATAAATCCACGAAGATGAGGAAAAACCAGCACAAAAAGCCTGAAAATTCCAAAAACCAGAATGCCTCTTCTCCTCCAAAGGATCACAACTCCTTGCCTGCAAGGAAACAAAACTAGAGGGAGAATGAGTTTGACAAATTGACAGAAATAGGCTTCAGAAGGTGGGTAATAATAAACTCCTCCAAGCTAAGGGAGCATGTTATAACCCAATGTAAGGAAGCTAAGAACCATGAAAAAATTGCTAACTAGAATAGTTAGTGACAAATTGCTGACTAGAATCACCAGCTTAGAGAAGAACATAAATGACCTGATGGAGCTGAAAAACACAGCACGAGAATTTTGTGAAGCATACACAAGTATCAACAGCTGAATTGATCAAGCAGAAGAAAGGATATCAGAGATTGAAGATCAACTTGATGAAATAAAGCATGAAGACAAGATTAGAGAAAAAAGAATGAAAAGGAATGAACGAAGCCTCCAAGAAATTTGGGACTATGTGAAAAGACCAAACCTACGTTTGATTGGTGTACCTGAAAATGACGGGGAGAATGGAACCAAGTTGGAAAACACTTTTCAGAATATTATCCAGAAGAACTTATCCAACCTAACAAGACAGGAAAACACTCAAATTCAGGAAATACAGAGAATACCCAAATACACTCCTCAAGAAGAACAACCCCAAGACACATAATCATCAGATTCACCAAGGTTGAAATGAAGGAAAAAATGTTAAGGGGAGCCAGAGAGAAAGGTCAGATTACCCACAAAGGGAAGCCAATCAGACTAACAAAAGATCTCTCTGCAGAAACACTACAAGACAGAAGAGAGTGGAGGCCAATATTCAACATTCTTAAAAAAAAGAACTTTCAAACCAGAATTTCATATCCAGCCAAAGTAAGCTTTATAAGCAAAGGAGAAATAAAATCCTTTACAGACAAGCAAATGCTGAGAGATTTTGTCACCATCAGGCCTGCCTTACAAGGGCTGTTGAAAGAAGCACTAAATATGGAAAGGAAAAACTGGTACCAGACACTGCAAAAATATACCAAATTGTAAAGACCATTGACAGTATGAAGAAACTGCATCAACTAACGGCCAAAATACCAGCTAGCATCATAATGACAGGATCAGATTCACACATAAGAATATTAACCTTAAATGTAAACGGGCTAAATGCCCCAGTTAAAAGACAGAGACTGGCCAATTGGATAGAGACTCATGACCCATCGGTGTGCTGTATTCAGGAGACCCATCTCACGTGCATAGACACACATAGGCTCAAAATAAAGGGATGGAGGAATATTTACCAAGCAATGGAAAACAAAACAAAACAAAAAGCAGAGGCTGCAATCCTAGTCTCTGATAAAACAGACTTTAAACCAATGAAGATCAAAAAAGAAAGGCATTACATAATGGTAAACAGATCAACATGACAAGAAATGTTAACTATCCTAAATATATATGCACCCAATACGGGAGCACCCAGATTCATAAAGCAAGTTCTCAGAGACCTACAAAGAGACTTAGATTCCCACACAATAATAGTGGAAAACTTTAACACTGCACTGTCAATATTAGATCAA
Organism: Homo sapiens; assembly: GCF_000001405.40. Classification (NCBI taxonomy): domain Eukaryota; kingdom Metazoa; phylum Chordata; class Mammalia; order Primates; family Hominidae; genus Homo; species Homo sapiens. The sequence continues at coordinate 115,892,653 of NC_000002.12, read as the reverse complement.
TGGGACAAAAAATTAACAAGGATATTCAGGACTTGAACTTAGCTCTGGACCAAGCAAACCTAATAGACATCTACAGAACTTTCCACCCCAATCAACAGAATGTACATTCTTCTCAGCCACACATTGCACTTATTCTAAAATTGACCACATAATTGGAAGTAAAACACTCCTCAGCAAATGCAAAAGAACGGAAATCATAGCAGTCTCTCAGACCACAGTGCAATCACGTTAGAACTCAGTATTAAGAAACTCACTCAAAATCACACAACTACATGGAAAATGAACAACCTGCTCCTGAATGGCTACTGGGAAAATAGCAAAATGAAGGCAGAAATAAAGATGTTCTTTGAAACCAGTGAGAACAAAGACACAACATACCAGCATCTCTGGAACACAGCTAAAGCAGTGTTTAGAGGGAAATTTATAGCACTAAAATCCCCACAGGAGAAAGCACAAAAGATCTAACATCAACACCTTAACATCACAATTAAAAAAAAACTAGAGAAGCTAGAGCAAACTTTCAAAAGCTAGCAGAAGACAAGGAATAACCAAGATCAGAGCACAACTGAAGACACAAAAAAACCCTTCAAAAAATTAATGAATCCAGGAGCTGGTTTTTTGAAAAGATTAACAATATAGATAAACTGCTAGCCAGACTAATAAAGAAGAAAAGAGAAGAATCCAATAGACACAATAAAACATGATAAAGGGAATATCACCACTGATCCCACAGAAATACAAACTACCATCAGAGAATACTATAAACACCTCTACGCAAATAGACTAGAAAATCTAGAAGAAATGGATGAATTCCTGGACACTTACACCCTCCCAAGACTAAATCAGAAAGAAGTCGAATCCATGAATAGACCAATAACAAGTTCTGAAATTGAAGCAACGATTAATAGCCTACCAACTAAAAAAAACCCAGGACCAGATGGATTCACAGCCAAATTCTACCAGAGGTACAAAGAGGAGCTAGTACCGTTCCTTCTGAAACTATTCCAAAGAATAGAAAAAGAGGGAATCCTCCCTAACTCATTTTATGAGGCCAGCATCATCCTGCTACTAAAACCTGGCAGTGACACAGCAAAAAAAGAAAACTTTAGGCAAATATCCCTGATGAACCTCAACGCAAAAATCCTCAATAAAATACTGGCAACATGAATCCCACAGCACATCAAAACCTTATCCACCGTGATCAAGTTGGCTTCATCCCTGGAATGCAAGGCTGGTTTAGCATATACAAATCAATAAATGTAATCCATTACATAAACAGAACCAATGATAAAAACCACATGATTATTTCAATAGAGGCGGAAAAGGCCTTCCAAAAATTCAACACCCCTTCATGCTAAAATCCATCAATAAACTAGGTATTGAGGAAACATATCTCAAAATAATAAGAGCTATTTATGACAAACCCACAGCCAATATCACACTGAATTGGCAAAAGCTGGAAGCATTCCCTTTGACAACCGGCACAAGACAAGGATGCCCTAACTCACCTATCCTATTTAACATACAGTATTGGAAGTTGTGGCCATGGCAATCAGGCAAGAGAAAGCAATAAAGGGTATTCACGTAAGAAGAGAGGAAGTCAAATTGTCTCTGCTTGCAGATGACATAATTGTATATTTAGAAAACCCCATCATCTCAGTCCAAATCTCCTTAAGCTGAGAAGCAACTTCAGCAAAGTTTTAGGATACAAAATCAATGTGCAAAAATCACAAACATCCCTATACACCAATAATAGAAAAACAGAGAGTCAAAACATGAGTGAACTCCCATTCATAACTGCTACAACGAGAATAAAATACCTGGGAATACAACTTACAAGGGATGTGAAGGACCTCTTCAAGGAGACCTACAAACCACTGCTCAAGGAAATAAAAGAGGGTACAAACAAATGGGAAAACATTCCATGCTTGTGGATAGGAAGAATCAATATTGTGAAAATGACCATATGGCCCAAAGTAATTTATAGATTCAATGCTATCCCCATCAAGCTACTATTGACTTTCTTCACAGAAGTAGAAAAACTAATTTAAATTTCATATGGAAAAACAACAACAACAAAGAGCTCATATAACAAAGACATCCATAAGCAAAAAAAAAAAAAAAAAAAAAAGCTGGAGGCATCATGCTTCCTGACTTCAAACCATACTACAAGGCTACAGTAACCAAAACAGCATGGTACTGGTACCAAAACGGATATATAGACCAATGGAACAGAACAGAGGTCTCAGAAAAAAAGTGCAGCACAACTGCAACCATCTGATCTTTGACAAACCTGACAAAAGCAATGAGGAAAAGATTCCCTACTTAATAAACGGGTTGGGAAAACTGGCTAGCCATATGCAGAAAACTGAAATTGGGCCCCTTCCTTACACCTTATAGGAAAATTAACAAGATGTATTAAAAACTTAAATGTAAGACCTAAAAACCATGAAAACCCTAGAGGAAAATGTAGGCAGTACCATTCAGGACACAGGCACTGGCAAAGACTTCATGACTAAAACACCAAAAGCAATGGCAACAGAAGCCAAAATAGACAAATGGGATCTAATTAAACTAAAGAGCTTAAAGAAACTATCATCAGAGTGAAAAGGCAACCTACAGAATGGGAGAAAATTTCTGCAATCTATCTGTCTGTCAAAGGGCTAATATCCAGAATCTACAAAGAACTAAACAAATTTACAAGAAAAAAACAAACAACCTCATCAGAAAGTGGGCAAAGGATGTGAATAGACACTTCTCAGAAAAAGACATTTATATGGCCAACAAACATGAAAAAAAGCTCATCATCACTGTTCATTAGAGAAAAGCAAATCAAAACCACAAAGAGATACCGTCTCACACCAGTTAGAATGGCGATCATTAAAAAGTCAGGAAACAGCAGATGCTGGAGAACGTGGAGAAATAGGAATGCTTTTACACTGTTGGTGGGGGTGTAATTAGTTCGACCTATTTACAGTTGTGTGTAAATCAACACAACTGTGTGACAGAACTGTGTTACAGTTGTGTGAGAATTGACAGTGTGGCGATTCTCAAGGATCTAAAACCAGAAATACCATTTGACCCAGCAATCCCATTACTGAGTATATACCCAAAGGATTATAAATCATTCTACTATAAAGACACATGCACGTGTATGTTTATTGCAGCACTATTTACAATACCAAAGACTTGGAACCAACCCAAATGGCCATCAGTGATAGACTGGATAAAGAAAATATGGTACATAGACACCATGGAATACTATGCAGCCATAAAAAAGGATGAGTTCATGTCCTTTGCAGGGACATGGATGAAGCTGGAAATCATCATTCTCAGCAAATTAACACAGGAACAGAAAACCAAACACCGCATTTTCTCACTCATAAGTGGGAGTTGAACTATGAGAACACATGGACACAGGGAGGCAACCTGACACACCAGGCTTGTCAGGGGGTGGGGGACTAGGGGAGGGATAGCATTAGGAGAAATAACTAATGTAGATAACGGGTTGATGGGTGCAGCCAACCACCATGGCACGTGTATAAGTATGTAACAAACCTGCACGTTGTACACATGTATCTCAGAACTTAAAATACAATTTAAAAAATTTAAAAAAGAAGAAAGAAAAAAAGATACTTTGTATGACTTTAATATTTTTAAATGTATTCAGAATTGTTTTGTGGTCTAAGATATAATCTGTAATGAAGAGTGTTCATATGCACTTGAGAAGAGTGCATATTCTGCTGTTGGAAAAGATTTTAAGTTGAAGATTAACATTTGATACAATTTTGATAAGGAGGGAAAGTGAGGTGGGAAAGGAGTTTTTGTTGCCTATAGAATAAATAGGAGAGAGAATATGAACAAAGATGTGGATACAAGAAATAGGAAGATAGATAATGGGACATAAATAAACTGCTTTGACTAGAAATTGAGACAACAAATAGGTGAGCAAGAGAAAACATACCTGTAAAGGAAGGGTAAAGCAGTTTGAGAATTGGCTGGAATTGCCATATAGAAATTTAGATAATTTTCTGCACTCAGTACTGAATTGTGCGCAGTAGCAGAAGCAGTATTTTAAGAAAATTACTCTAAACAGTAATTTTCAATAAATTTTACATGAAGGCAAATACAAAAGTAAAGGCTATTGCAATATTCCTGAAATAAGAGTATTTCACTCCAACATAATTGTGGTATTTTTGATATCTTATGGCAGAGTTAATGAAAAATATTAAGAAAAAAATATTGAGAATTTATTTCCAAGCAAGGAAAAATAAGTCTCACGGACTGAGCCCTAGCAGGGTGAGAGGAAAGGAGAAGGCAAAGATAAACTCTAGTTCAGTACATTATAAGAGCTGGAGGTTAGTAGCTTTGGAAACAAAACAATTCAACTTAATTCATTGATGTATAAAGTGAAGGTGGTAAGGCCAGTTCTGTTATCCAGTTCCAGGCCACTTCCACCAGAATGTAGAAATAGAATAAATCTGAGTCTCCAGAATTTTAGGTACACTGAACTATTCAGAAAGTAGCTAAGTTAGTTGGGATTAAATCTCTCAAGTGTGCTGCTTAAAAGACATCATAAAACCACTCTCGTTAAAAGATAAATATTCTACACTACGCTGCAATTAGAAATTAATTATAAATAAATTATTATTTGGTTGTTTCTTTCCTTCTGGATGATTGGCTTATTATAAAATGTATTGCCAAACATTCAAAGAATGCCACTCTTCCTTGACGAGTAACCTGAGTCATTTCTGCCTTCTCTATCCCAGATGATCTTGGATAGAGTCTTTCCTTAGAGAGTTTCATGAGCATGGCATTTAACCTTGTAATTAAAGCCATTAAAAATAATTTGAGCTTCCTCACTTAATTAATTTTATATTATTATTGTAAATGTCACTACCTTCACTTTAAAGAAGTTAAGAAATTAGAGGTATCTGATCTTCTAAAACAAAGCCAGTAAGTGAGAGAGGGAGGAAGGGAAGAAAGGAAAGAAGCAAGGGAGGGAGAGATGGAGGGAGGGAAGAAAGGAGGGAAAGAGGGAAGGAAGGAAGGATGGAAGGAAGAAGGGAGTGAAGGAGGGAGGGAGGGAAGAAGGGAGGGAAAGAAGAAAAACAGAAGGAAGGAAGGATGGATGGAAGGAAGGAAGGAAAAAAGGAAGGAAGGAAGGATGGATCAGGAGGGAGGAAGGGAAGGAAGGAGGGCAAAAAAAGAAGGAAGGAAGAAAGAAAAGTAGAAATAATTTTTAACTCTCTTTTGACATAGGGTTGTCTCCTATTTTTATTAGTATGGTTCATATTTAAAAAATGACAAATTTTTTGTAAGGATAGAATCCAGTGTGGAACCTGAGTATAGGCCAAAATATATTTCTGTTGACGTGGAAGTGGCTTTGTTCAGTTTAAAGCTGATTAGAGTTTAAGTAAACAATTTATTTAGTTGTCCAGAAAAAAACAAAACAAACCAAAAAAAAAAAAGAAGAAAAATTTTACTAAGGCAAAAACAGTAGGAAGAATAAGTAAAGAATTATTAGAAAAAAATATGTAATTAATCAGAATGGTTGGGGAAAGAAAGCCAGTTGTCCCGAGGTATCAAACCTTTTTACTTGAATGTTTAAATATTTCTTATGTAGTTTGAACTGAAATGTCTCGATAATCTTTTAGGAACGGTGTGTGTGTGTGTGTGTGTGTGTGTAGTGTAATATTAGAAAAATGGGACTTTGCCTTGTTTAATTTCTATTTTTTCTTTTTTCTTTTGAAGATAACAGGGCTAAAGCAAAGAGCTGCCTATTGTTATATGTCTTTTAGAGCAAAAAGATGTTATGCTGCACCTAGATTTCCTATTTCTCTAGTCTTTTTAAATCTGGAATCTTTTTTCAGTCTTTCTCCTTTTCTTGATTTCCAGGAAATAATTTCTCACACTTTCAAAAATTATAGACCAATAATTTTCTAGAATGTTCTTTAACGTGAATTTGTCCAATACCATAGGCTTCATTCTATCTTTTCTCCTTTCCATATTTGCACCTCACTTCTCCAATAAATGAGAAACCTTGCTTCATTATCCATTGTTAACCAGATATGTTTAATTATCGGCTCGATCTCCTTCACTGCAGTCAGTCTTTGGAATATATTCTTGCTCTGCTTTGAAGTCCGCCTTGGGTGGGTTCCAGAGGCCACGGCTACCTTGTTCTGACATTCTCCTTGTTTGGCCTTTGGCCACCATCAGGTGCCCTATTTGAGCTACCTAATGTCTTTTTGAAACCTTTTGTAATAAACATTCTTTTTTATTTAAAATAGGTTGAAATTTACAACAAATTTTGCATACAGTACACACAGTCTTCATACACCCCATACCAAGTTTCCTCTATTAGTATTACCGTGCATTAGTATAGAATAATTATAATAATTAATGAACCAGTACGGATACACTATCATTATCTAAAGTCCAGACATTATTTAGATTCCCATAGTCTTCAGTTAATGTCCTTTCTTGTTGTTTTTGTTCTAGAACCCTACCTTGGACACCATCTTATATTTAGTCATCGATCATGTCTTCATAGGTTCCTCTTGGTTATGACAGTTTCCCAGATGTCTCTTCTTTATAATGTAATGCACAGTTTTAAGGAATACTGATCTGATCAGAGATTGGGTTGAATGTTCCTCAAATGGGATATATCTGATTTATTTCTCCTGAGTATACAGGAGTTACAGCTTTTGAGAGGGAAGACCAGAGAAACAAAGTGCCATTATCATCATATCATATCAAAGGGTACACACTCAACCTGACTTATCACTGTTGATGTGAACTTTGATCACCCAGCAGTAATAGAGCTTTCCAGGTTGCTCCACTGTAAATTAACTTTCTTTCCCCTATCTATATTATACTTTTTGGCAATAATTTATTATGTGCATTCTACACTTAAACAGTAGGGGTTATGATACATCTCCTTGCAGGTGGAATATTTACCTAAATTTCCTAATGGCTTTTTGACTGAAAAGGAAAGAAGGAACAAAGAAATAAGGAAGGAAAACTTTTCTTCAACTATTAACAGCATAACAAACGTGCGACCCAGAAACAACTTCATTCAGTCTATTAAAATGCTATATAGGGATCCCTATATAGTGAAAATCATGCTAATTAACATATGAAATGTGCTTTAAATAATTTCTCAACTACTAAAGGAAACAAGGTACATACGCAGATGTCTAAAATATAAGGTATGGGCCGGGCGCGGCAGCTCACGCCTGTAATCCCAGCACTTTGGGAGGCCAAGGTGGGCATATCACCTGAGGTCAGGAGTTCGAGACCAGCCTGGCCAACATGGTGAAACGCCACCTCTACTAAAAATACAAAAATTATCTGGGAGTGCTTGTGTGTGCCTGTAAACCCAGCTACTCAGGAGGCTGAGGCAGGAGAATCACTTGAACTCAGGAAGCGGAGATTGTATTGAGTTACAGTGAGCCAAGATTGTGTCACTGCACTCTAGGCTGGGCAACAGAGTAAGACTTCATCTAAAAAAATAATAATAAAATAAAATAAAATATAAATTAAGACTTGTTAAATAATATAAAAGTGATTCAGATCAAATGTTCTGGGAGTTAACAAGTTTATTTCCCTGGCAAATATGAAATTTTGTAAGCCATTGCCTGGTGCTACATTATTAAGGAAAAATTACATTAAATTTAGAGCTGATATTGACCCTAACCTGTAATGTTTATGCAGTTGGAACAAAATTCATAGAAAGGGGGTCACTGACCTGGCCAAGTACTGATCTTTATTACCAAAAGGTGAGGGTGTTGTTGCTGGTGGTGGTGGTGGGGTTTTTTTTGTTTTTGTTTTTGTTTTTGAGATGGAGTCTCACTCTGTTGGCCAGGCTGGAGTAAAATGGCACAAGCTCGGCTCACTGAAACCTCCAACTCCCTGGTTCAAGCGATTCTCCTGCCTCAGCCTCTCAAGTAGCTGGGATTACGAGCACCCACCACCACAACTAGCTAATTTTTTGTATTTAGTAGAGACAGGGTTTCACCATCTTGGTCAGGCTGGTCTCGAACTCCTGACCTCAGGTGATCTGCCCACCTTAGCCTCCCAAAGTGCTGGGATTACAGGCATGAGAGCTTTGTTACTAATGCACAGTGATGGCAAAGAGAACTATACGTGGACCCATGAGATGCACATAGGGCCTCATTATACATCTCTGATCAGTATTTCTGGTGAAGAAAACAGTGGCTTCTCAATAAAAAAAATACTCATCAAGAACCTGAATCATTAGGTACAGAGTATGTTGTTAAAATTTTGGATTTTTGCTACTTCAGCAGTTGAGAAACATTAAATATTTAGAGTTCCATTCTAGTATAATGGTAGAGTGGAAACCAGATTTCAAAATATTTAGAGAGAATAGATAACAAAACATTTTGAAAGTGTTAAAGAGTACATTCTAAATATATAATAGGAATGGGAAAAAAGAGTTGAAGGTGTGAAAATTTGGCCTCAAGAAGCTGGGTCATGGGAATTATCAGGTGTGGGACTTCAATGCTGTTCACTTTCCTCGCGACACCTAATTCAGCTATTTACCTCTCCTGGGTCCCCACAGAAAATACTGGCAGAGTTTTTCTCCCTCATAAGCTGAACAAATAATTTGAGAATATTGCTAGAGCCCCAAAGACCAAAGTAACTGCACACCTCCCACCCCAAAGAATATGCCGGCTTTCTATGACAAACAAAAGGCAAATTTTAAAAAGAAAAATAGGCAAAAAAGCAGGAAGTCTTCCATGTTTTGAGGTGGAACAAGATGGTAAAAGAATAAATAAACTCATGAAAAAATTAACTAATATCCATTAGTTCATACTGATATAAGTGAACAACTGAATAGATTGATGGATGGATAGACAGATAGATAGATGGATAGACAGACAGACAGACAGACAGACAGACAGACAGACAGACAGATAGATAGATAGATAGACACAAATCTGTGCAGATAAATTCCAAATAATTTTGGTAGATGTTTTGCCTTTAAGTAGGTGGAACGTACCTTCCCATTCATTAAGTGTGGATTGTGCATAGTAACTTGCTTACAAAGAGTACAATATTGTATATAAAGGGGTAGAGAATAGTCACTTTACAATGGAGAAACCTGACAAATACCACCTCAGCCAGGTTATCAAGGTTAACATCAGTAGCAAGTCATATTGATAGTGTGTACTCTTGATGTAACGACAGTGACATTTTACCTCTGATCTTCCTCCCCAGACCCATAAGCCCAGTCTAGTCATGGGCAAAAGCATCAGACAAACACAAATTGAGAAGCATTCTCCAAAACAGCCTGGGGGCACTTTTAAAAATTGTCAAGGTCATCAGGCACAAGAAAAGTTTGAGATACTGTCACAATCAAGAGGGGCCTACAGAGACATAACAACTAGATAAAATGTGATATGCTACTTGGTGGAATCATGGAACAGGAAAGGGACATTAGGTAAAGTCTAAGGGAACCTAAATAGAACATGAATTTTAGTTAATTATGCATAAATATTGTATCATTTATTGATACAATTGCAACATACTAATGTGACATGTTGATTATACTCTCTATACTTTCTTCAAAACTTTTCTGGCCACTTAAAACTATTCTAAAATTTCAGTTAAAAAAAAAGTATCAGAGAAGAAGAAGCAGATGATATTGAGGAAAAGACAACTTAGTAAGTTACATTCTTCAGAAAAATGGAAGTACGCAAGAAAGAGTGTCTTGAAAGTGCACAATCTGCATGAGGTTCAAAGTGTATACGACATAGAAGAATAAAATGAATGGCAAAGGGCATCAATGTCATAGCAATGGAGTAACTGGACACTGAAAAGATAGCACAGAGAGAGTGTAGATCTCTGCAACATTCATATAAATATGGACAAATAACAGAAAGGAACAGAGAAAAAATGTAGAAGTGGGACCATGACCTAGCCATCCCTAATGAGCATAAGACCTGTTATCGTTAATGAAAAAGAAATGCTGCTCAAAACTCCACTCATACTGCCTTCTAGTTCCGGTAATAAGTTGTTGATATTTAATATTAGACCTTCATAAGAGTGCTCATCAGACCAGTAAAACATAAGTTCTCAAGGACTGATACTGTATTCTTTGAAATGTAACATCTAGCATCTATTATTATGTGAGTGTTTATTATTAAATGAATGAATGAATCCTTACACGTTTATTGCACCTACTTTCTCCTCTTTCTGTATCAATCTTGCCCCAGTGTGTGTAGGTGCTAGATCACTTCATCATTTAGGTCATTGTTCAAGTATCTTCTTAGAGAGGTGTTTTCTGATCTCTGCATAGAATACATTGTCTATTACCTATTGCTGTCTCTCTCTCTATCCCTTTAACCTTCTGTATTTTCTTTTTAACACACATTATATCTGACATTTTTCATTTATGTATTTCTTTGTTTACTGCCTACTAAAATGCAAGCTCCTTGAGGGCACAGACTGTATGTCTAGTTCACTGCTAAATTCTTAGCATTTAGAATACCAGTAAGCATACACAAGTCACTCAATAAAAATGTGTTAGATAATTAATGAATCCACAACATTTTAGTAATATTTCCAATTACTTATCAGGATAGTGTATGTAGCATTAAATTTGACTTCAGGCAGACTCTGTTACCGAATTAACACTGGACAAAACCCAGTCAGAGGAAGGCTGTCCAGATTGTCTCTCCACCCTCACTTCTTCATACATAAGTAAGAGGACATAGGGCTACATTATTATTGTCCTGAATAGAAGCAGTTACAGTGCTACCATAATTGCAAATTATTTTATATACTTCTAATAACAGAAAGACATTTTATTTAAACACTACTAAAATTAAGTCTTGACCAGTTTAGGGTCTTCTCTTCCAATTAATTGTAATTAGATCAAAACAACCTCCTATCAGCTCTGTCCATTCCTTTATCCATGAACTCTCTCTTCTTTTGCATCTGAATCTATTCATTTAACAATGATATTCATGTCCCTATTAAGAACAAGTAATCTTGTTTCTGGTTTTGTAATGATGTGAAAAGTACTATTTTGCTTCAAAGAATTAGAATATGGAAACATTTGATTTGTTTTGTTTCACAGAATAAGATTCAGAAATATCAACAATAGACTTGATAATCAGGAATGATAATGTCTGAACGAGTGAAAAATAAACATTCTTCAGAAAGTTAAGAAAGTCCGTAAACTTAAAGATATCAAAATTCTCCATATTGTAAAAGAGAGACATACTACAATCAACTTAAATTTTTATGAAATAAAGAAGGACTTATATTTTAAGTAAAGAAGTAAATGTCGAGTATTATTCTATAAGTTTGTTTGGATACAACAAGAATAGAATCAAGAAGTGCTAAAATAAAATAATTGACAATAGCTTCATAAAAGTTGCTGCATCTAATCAGAATCTCTAATTATCACTTGATTTTTTTCTCTTACCTAGCTACACACCCTTCCTCTGTGGTATCATCTGTGTTAAGGCTTTAAATATCTTTTATTTATTGACACCATTCAAATGTTTATGTCTCATTCCCTCAATTCCAGACTCAAATCTTGAACTATTCATCTGACATCTCCACATAGATCTAGAATATTCAATCTTCAATATGTCGAATATTTCAAACTTCACATGGTCGAAAAGAAACTGCTAATTCTTCTTGCCTCCAACCTATGTGTAGCTTCTCACTTAGCCCATCTCAGTGAATGACAACCCCTCCTTACATTTGTCCAGACCAAAAACCTTGGAATAACCCTTAATACCCCTCTTTTTGTCACACTTTGTATTCAGTAAGTCAGCACATGCTAATGGCTCTGTCTACAAAATGTATCCAGAATCAGGCAACTTCCCAATACCTCCACTAGGGTGCTTCTGATCCAAGACACCATCATCTCACTCCTTTGTCACTTAGATTATTTCCTACCTGGTCTTCCTCTCTGTTTTCTTGGCATCTTATAACCTATTGTTCTCAATGCAGCAGCCAGAGTTGTGTTGTTAAAATATGTCAGATCATGTCATAGCTTTGCTCAATATCCGTCAGTGACTTCTACCTCTCTGAGGTCAAAAGACAAATCCTTCAATTAACCAGGACCCAGTTGATCACCTTTCTGATCCTATCTCCTACATCTTCCCCACTCCCATCACCTTCCTCCAGCCAAGCTGACTTTGCTACTTCTTAAACCCATCAACATGCTTTCTTTTCACATCTGTGAATTTGCTGTTCCTTCTGCCTGGAATGATCTTTCCTTCAGATATGTGGTTGACTATCTCATATCTCCTCCAGATTTTCTACTCAAATGTTATCTTCAGTTAAATTGTAATTCCTCCCACCCAAATCTCCTTTCCAACATGGCAACACATATCACTACATAGCATATCAAATATTTAGCATATCTATATTTATTACCTGCCTTCTCTTACCAACCTTTGTGAAGGTATAAATTTGTGTCTATTTTGTTCATTAATTACTCCTCAGCACCTAGAACTCTGACATATGATAAATGCTCAAAATATGTTTTATAAATTTAATTATTATTAAAATGAGAAAAAGTTTATTAAAAACAGTTCTAGACAAAAGCTTTCAAAAAATAAGAGCAAACAAAAAACTTCCAAGTATTGCAAATATCAGGGGCCATTTGTTTCATATACTTGCCTCAATTTTCCACATGAGCATCCACGAGGATTAGTAAAATCCTGATAATATTTATGTTTTTCTTACTGTTACTGATTTGTGAAGTCCATGGATTGTCTTTGTTGATCTTTAAACCATTAAACTACAAAAAGCTGCCAAGGCAAAAAAGAATAAATTAATACTTCTATTATGGAACCGAAAACGTTTGAATAAGAGGTTCTTAGATAAAAGAAAACCAAGTAGCAATAGGCATAGTGTGCTCATACCAAGGCACCTCAGTAAAGAATATATGCTGTATTACTCTTCTCAGGCTGCCATATCAAGATACCGTCAACGGCCGGACTTAAACAATAGAAATTTATTTTCTCAAAGTTCTGGAGGCTGAATGTCCTAGACCAAGGTGCTGCCAGTGTTTATTTCTGGTGGGATCTCTCTTTCTGGTTTGTAGACAGCCACCTTCTTGCTGTGCCCTATCATACCCTTTCCTTTGTGTGCACAGAGAAAGAAAAATATCTAGTGCAGGCCGGGTGCAATAGCTCATGCCTGTAATCCCAGCACTCTGGGAGGCCGAGGTGGGTGAATCACTTGAGGCCAGGAGTTTGAGACCAGCCTGGCCATCATGGTGAAACCCCGTCTCTACTAAAAATTCAAAAATTAGTTGGACATGGTGGCATGTGCCTGTAATTCTAGCTACTCAGGAGGCTGAGCAACAAGAATCACTTGAGACTGGGAGGTGGAGGTTGCAGTGAGCTGAGATCGTGCCGCTGCACTCCAGCCTGCATGACAAAGGGAAACTCTGTCTCAAAAAGAAAGAAAGAAAAGACAAATATCTAGTGTAGTTTCCTCTATGTATAAAGGCACCAGTCCTAGAGGATTAGGAACCCACCTGTATGACTTCATTTAACCTAACTGGCTTCCTAAAAAGCCCTATCTCCAAATAGCCACGTTGGGGGTGAGGCTTTAACATCTGACTTTTGGGGGGATACAATATCTTCATAATTTGCACATATCTACTTTTTGTGTGAGTCAGGATGTTTCAAGTTGCAAGAAATAGAAACACTTTACCTCAGTAAATGGACATTTATCATAATATATATCTTAGGATGCAGGGTTCTACTATTGCTTCTCTGTTTTCTGGTGATGGCCTCTCTCTGTGTCTCATATTCAAAAGTCAGGAGCAGGACTAAGATTGGCTTCATTAGTCACAATAGAGATGTGTCCTGTTATAGCAGGCCTGTTGTGCAGAGCTATTTTACAAGACCATTTTGGGGATTAATTATTCACCTATAAATGTCCACCTTTCTGCCTTGAACTGTTCTCTGGACAAAGGGCTATGATCATTTTATGGGGATTATGTACTAAAATATTATCTCAAATGAGAAGATTTCCTTTCTTGTTTATCCTTCCAAACAATTCCTACAGCAAGCAAATTCTAGCTAGTACCTTTCCAGGTCAGCTATGAATATAATTTATCTACTATAGCTATATCTAGTTATTAAAAGGGATTAAAAGTCTCTTAGTCACATGTCAATGATCACATACCTTCTAACACTTGACAGGCACCACTGAGTCCACTGCGAGACTGCAATGCTTACCACATATTCTATGTGCACCTCTACATTTTCAACCTCCCTATAGAGCAAAGACACTTGGCCCTAGGGCTGTGCTGGAAAATAAGTGTAAGGCTGAGTCAGTAAAAATGATCCTATAGGCAAACAAATATTGTCCTCTAGTCTCTCCTTCTCTTTTATGACAACCAAGTAGGCCAATTGTTTTGTAAAACGGTGGAGGCACAAGGTGATAGAACATAGCATAAGCAAGAAAAAGTTTCCCTTGCCAGCCATGAGTGCCATGCACAGACTTGTTTATAAAACCTCTGATATATTGGTGGTGTTTGTAACTACAGCATAGCCTTTTCTATCTGGATTAATTATTAATAAGAAGTAGAAGGAAAAAGGAGGAGGAGGAGAAGCAGAAGAGGAGGAGAAGAAGAAGAGAAGGGAGAAGGAGAAGGAGAAAGGAAGAGAAACTACAGAAACAAACGAAAGAAAAAAAGCTTAAAATGTATGCCTTTAGCTTAATTGTTAGGCTTAGTAATTGAGAATAATGGCAAAAAAACTAATATAAAACCCGGAAAAGGCAGTGATCCAAGTAATAAAATGGCAAAATATTAGGTAATACTGTTGCCTGTGGAAAGTTGGAAGGCAAGTCATAGATTAATGAACCTTTAGCTATGGACAAATAGCTCTGCAAAGAACATTAGTAGTGGGCTTTATTTGTTTTCAGCTGCACCAGGGAGGCACTGCAGGAAAGAGCTGAGCTCATGGAAGGATTATCAATTTTCTGACCAGAAATGAAAGGGACTAGAGAAATCTCAGAAATTAGTGAAGTTGCACTATCAGAAATGCCACCTTGTTTTGTTTTGTTTTGTTTTGTTTTGTTTTGTTTTTTAAGTTCTGGGATACATGTGCAGAACATGCAGGTTTGTTACATAGGCATACACATGCCATGGTGGTTTGCTACACCTATCAACCCGTCATCTAGGTTTTAAGCCCCACATGCATTTGGTATTTGTCCTAATGGTAACTTTCAACTGCAAACAGGCAAAAACTAGAATAAGAATGACTTTGAGTAATAAATATTTAGCAAAATCTTTCAATTAATTAAATTGTCTCAAAGCAAAGATCATACTAAGGTGTGGCACCCAGTAAATTTTTTCAGTTTAAAAATTTATTAGAGGGAAAGTTTATGATAATGATGCGGCTCTTTTAGCTCTTCTGGTTATATAACCTCAAGGTGCCTACCATTAATTCCACTAAGTGAGTGAAAAGAGCAAGGGGAGGGAGAAGGAGAAAGTGGAAATCAAAGAGCCAAGCATTATATTCATCATGAGAAATATAAATGCAATAAAACAGTAGGTTGGCCAGGTGCAGTGGCTCACGCCTATAATCCCAGCTATTTGGAAGGCCAAGGAGGGCGGATCGGATTGCTTGAATTGAGGAGTTCAAGACCAGCCTGGGCAACATGTGAAACCCAAGCTCTACAAAATATACAAACATTAGCTGGGTGTGGTGGCACACACCTGTAGTCCCAGTTACTCGGGAGGCTGAGGCTGGGGAATGGCTTGAGCCTGGAAAGTTGAGGCCTCGCTGAGCCATGATCCAGCCTGGGTGACAGAGTGAGACCCTATCTAAAACAGGAACAATAACAACAACAAAACCTGTAGGCACAGTTACTGGTACATGATGCGGGTACGATAGAATACAAACAAGTCATCGTAACCAAGTTTTAGAGTCTGGATTCAAAGAGACTGTAACTAAAAAAGCACTGAAGCCCCAATCTTTTATGGCAAAGAGAAAGCTATACAACATGTAAGAAGAGTTTATTCCCCAAAGTCAATGTCAGTTATGATAAATAAATAAAATAGAGAAAGAAGAATTTCAGAAAGGAAAAAAACTGTAGACAGTGAAGTCACTCTCAGGGTGAGGGCCTGAGGAGCAGTTTCCCTCTCCAGGATGGGGGCACACATGACCTCTGCCCAGTGTGCTTTCAGAATCTGTATGTACTTGTTTCTCTCTAGTTAGATATGTTAATTGTAGCTACCTCAATCCTATTACTGTTACACATTAGATTTGGTGGGATAACTTTTTTTTTTTTTTTTAGGTTAATTCATCTTGAGACCAACAGGAAACAACTGTAATGACAATGTAGGGACTCTCATACATCACCTAGGTGTTCCAAACTTAGAGCAAGATAAGCAAAAACATGTGGGCTATCTCCCTTGGGGAAGGGTTGAATGTGTTCTATGTAAAAGACAGTCAGGGGAGAGTTGGTGAACAGAATGGCAATGAAACAGAAACAATAATGTTCCCCTTTTATTTCATTTGGCATTTTTCTGACACCTTGCAATTTGTCAAAGCCATGTGATAGTTCTACCCAACAGGCTGTCAGGAAACATGACCAGAGCTACTACTGATTGAGTTACTAAAACTCCCTACAAGGTGTTCTTTCTTAGTACAGCCTGAGTGAGCAATACATCATTGCTATATTTAAGGCCTTTGGGATTTTGTGGTTAATTTTCTGTAGTTTTTCTCTCTTACTAGCATTTATTGGCTTGGATAGGACTATCGGAAAAGTGGTATTTTAACCACTTTTTTTTTTTTTTTTTTTTTTTTTTTTGAGATGGAGTCTTGCCAGGCTGGAGTGTAGTGACACGATCTCGGCTCACTGCAACCTCCGCATCTCTGGTTCAAGAGATTCTCCTGCCTCAGCCTCCTAAGTAACTGGGACTATAGTCACACACCACCACGCCCAGCTAATTTTTGTATTTTTAGTAGAGACAGGGTTTCACCATGTTGGCCAGGATAGCCTCAATCTGCTGACCTCGTGATCGCCTGCCTCGGCCTCTCAAAGTGCTGGGATTACAAGCGTGAGCCCCCGCGCCTGGCCCGATATTTTAACTTCTAACAGCTTCTCCTAAATGCATGGCAGTGCACATTTTGTTTTGTACTGTTTTTGCATTCTACCTGGGACTTTAAGGCAGGAGTGAATCAATAAGATGCATGTGATAGGTATAATTCCACTCTTTCCTCCCATAGCTGGTAGTCTATTGGTTCTTCAGTGTTGAGAAGTGTGGGCCACCACTGGGACTAATTTGCATTAGTCAATCCAAGAAGATATTAAAGCTATAGAGAGCTGTTCACATTAACACACTGAACAGTCTGTCATTTCCCCATGCATTTCCACCAAGCAAGCAATCATCTCAACGTAATATTTACCTATTTGCTAAGCTTTTACATCAGGAACTGTTAAAGTTTATATTTACCTAATTGTTTAATGGCTTGCTTTAAAAGGTTATACAAAATTCTTGCTAATTTTTTTGTGTTTGTTAATCTGATTTATTGACATTGTTCCCAGGCTCATGGGGCATTCTGATTTGCTCTACTTGTAGTGATATATTAAGAGCTGATGGGATTCTCCAACTTCTCATGTGCTTTCAATTCTTCCTGAGTAATCTCATTCAAATTTCTAAGTGCCTGACCCTCACTAGTAGAGTCCTTGACCATGATCTTGACCAGGAAATCTTATCACCTTTAGACTTCAGTGTTTTGGGTTGTTTTCATTGTGCCGTGCATGTTTTAAGTGCTAGTTTAAAGCTAACTTAGAGCACCAGTTACAAGAAGAAAGTATACAATAATTTTATATAACACAAGTATTTTTCTTCCTTTTTTGTATTTTTCCTTATGTAGTAATTTAGAGGTATGAGAAGCAAACTTTTATTTCTCCTGTTCCTACATTACTTAACACATTGAAAGAATTCCAAAGCTGTAGTCAAAACTTGGCTTTGGCAGGTACATATTTTATGTAAGAGATCATCAGCTGCACAGACAAATCTTGAGCTACCACTTGCTATCCCCTCCACATTTGCACGATTGCTATTTACATAACCTCCAAGCTTCTGTGAAGATCTATTACTCAAAAGCCACCCGAAATAGCTATTTTTGATGATTTTTTTTTCAAGCTACAAAGAACATGGACTTCCTTTGGATGCCTCAGTTAACGATGGTTTAAGAAACACAGAAGACAAATAGCAAACACTTTCAAAAGTTGTGTAACAAAGGTTCTTAAATTAGAGACTCTCAGTTTACAAGACTATCCTAGCAGTCCCCTTTCCCAAGGATGCAATGGTTAAACTATGTTTCTGTCTCTCTTTTAATAGCCACACATACTGATATAATACATGCAAACTACATACACACACATATACACACAAGTGTACACACATCATTCTCCAGCTCAATAGATTCTTATTTCATTGTTTTTCCAGTGGAGTTGCTTGGATTCTGTTGTCAATATTCCTGACTCCCTTTCACAGTAAAACTCCCTAAGCAAGTTCTAATTGTTTTAGTGTAATGTGTCATTATCAAATACAGAGTACTTTTATTGAGCAGAAACTTTGTTTAAGAAATCTCTTGGTCAGGCGTGGTGGCTCAGGCCTGTAATGCCAGCACTCTGGGAGGCCGAGGCGGGCAGATCACAAGGTCATGAGATCGAGACCATCCTGGCCAACATGGTGAAACCCCATCTCTACTAAAAATAGAAAAATTAGCTGGGCGTGTTGGTGTGTGCCTGTAGTCCCAGCTACTCAGGAGGCTGGGGCAGAAGAATCTCTTGAACATGGAGGGTGGAGGTTGCAGTGAGCCAAGATTGTGTCACTGCTCTCCAGCCTAGGTGGCTGAATGAGAGACACTCTGTCTCAAAAAAAAAAAAAAAAAAGACAGAAATATCTAATTCCTGGCCCAACTGTCAAAATAGCTGATTTGGAAACAGTAACACATGCTGCAAAATATGACAATGCAAAATGAACCACCTGAACCTGCTTTTCTTAGATGTAGCCTACCAGGAGGGTAAGTGTGGAAGAAGGAAGGCTTTCTTACAGTGGTTTAAAGTGAAGGTGGTGAAAAGATATCATGGTGTAGATATATTTTGAGATCTTGCTGATGAATAAGATATTTAAGGTGAAGAGAAATAGTTACTGATGAAAGACAGATTTTTGACCTGAGCAACTGGTGATTTTCAGTTCAATTTATTACCAGGGAGATGGTGGGAGTAGAAAAAAGATTAGAGGAACAGGATCAAATTTTGCTTTGAACATGTTAAGTATGAAAGTCCCCCATCAGATATCTCAGTGGACATGCTAAGTCAGTAGTTGACTAAATGCATTTAACTATCATGAGAGAGTTTGGGAATGAAGAGAGAGATTTAGGGGTTACCAGGATCCATTTAGAGGCTGTGAAACAGAATTTATGACTGTTAAGGTTGGAGGAAACAGGCTTATGTTACCATATATAGAAATATACGGTAAAAGAGTAGATGATAAAATAAGAGCAAGAGTAATAAAGTGCTACCTTGCCTTCATAAAACACTTTATAATTTTTCAATGGGTGGTCATAGCAATATTTCATTCTTTTAAGAACCATGTTATAAAAAGGCGAGTTATTACTATCTGTTAATATGAAGAGGCTGAAATAAACTGTTAGAGTTACTTGCACTAAGTACATGTATAGACCTTAGCAGATCTGGGACTAGTGTTTGGATTGTCCTCACAAGCCTGTACTTCCTTCCTCTGTATCTTACACTTAACAGTAAACAAAGATGTCAATGGAGAAGATAAATAAATCTCCAACTCTTACCAAGATGTTATATTCTATAAACTTACAAAAAGTTGTTTCTCAGAGCCTCTGGACAGCTGGACAATTGGAGGTTTCTGGAGGATGCCACACCCATGAAAGGCATGGAAGCTCTGTGCTCATTCCCTTAAAAATAAAAATTAAAAAAAAAAAGATACTTTTCCTAACAGTTTTCTACTATGGGTAATGAAGATACCATGGGAAATTTTCTCACACTTTTTAACCTTAACCTGGAAGAGGGTTTCTAATCTGGAAGAGATATCTGCTTATGACATTCTTCAGAAAGTGTGATATTTGCTGAGGTATTGAGGTAACATGCTGAGGTTATATTCTGTTTGTCTCTAGAATTGATATTCCACCAGCACACAATACCAGGTTTTCTTCCCTGTGCAAATGGCCATTACAATTCCTATAATATTTACACTGATGATATAAAGCTACGAAGGCCAAATGCTGGGAAAGGTGAAAACATGTTTATTGAAATTATGTCTGTGTCCTTTCAAAGGCAGTGCAAAGGACAGGGTACAGTCTTGGCCACAGATATATGAATTGAGAAAATCTCGTAAGCAGGAATGTGAACTTTCATTATTTTTCTTTTCTTATTTATTCCTTTTCCCTCCTCATCTGTAAACAATACAATTTATTGATTGGTAAAGAAAAGGTGAAGATACTAAAATAGGAGTTTGATCAACACTGGTGAACATAGTTGCCTGTTGTCCATTACCATTTCTTTTGTTATGTGCACCTCAGTTTTCTTTTTCTTTCTTTCTTTTTTTTTTTTTTTTTTTTGAGACCGAGTTTTGCTCTCGTTGCCCAGGCTGGAATGCAATGGCGCGATCTTGACTCACTGCAACTCCGCCTCCTGGGTTCAAGCAATTCTCATGCCTCAGCCTCCCAAGTCACTGGGATTATAGGCCTGCACCACCATACCTTGCTAATTTTTGTATTTTTAGTAGAGACGGTGTTTCACCATGTTGGTCAGGATGGTCTTGAACTCCTGACCTCAGGTGATCCACCCGCCTCGGCCTCCCAAAGTGCTGGGATTACAGGTGTAAGCCACCGTGCCTGGCCTGCACCTCAGTTTTCTAATGCGGAATGCCTTCTTTCTCTTCACTCAGTTCATGTGATTTTTGTATAGCTAATTTCAACTACCGATTTAAGGAGAACCAAGCCTACTCATTCAGGGCATATTATTCCTTTGAACACAACAATTGACCTGTGAACCATGGATGGTCTTGTAACTCAAAAAGGCCAATAGCACTCAGTTTTAGGCCTTTGCTGGAGCTATTAGGAAAGATCATTTCTATCCTTATCAGGGTTGCTAAACTAGTTGGTAGAAGCCTTGAGATGACTCTCATAATGTTGAGAAATGCTGTTAGAGAAGTAAGTCAAGATAGAATACAGAAAATCCAATCCATAAAGAGACGATCTATATCCCAGTAACTTTGCTTGAATCTCTGCACATCGTTATCAGCCAGACTTTATTTTCCCCGATGTCCGCTTAAATCGTTTTTATGTTGCTTGCAGTTGAAATAGTCTTGTCTAATAAGTTGACACCCAACAATTAGTTGTCAGTAACAACAAGTAGTTGGTTATTATGATAATATGGCCTACCAGCTGTACCAATGTTCAAATAAAATAGTGAGAATTTTTAAAAAGAGATTTTAGTGAAGGCTTTCACTTTAGAGAAAAGGATAAAGACATTATTAGGGAATTTGGTTCATGGAGAAGCTAGTCAATAGAATGGCCTTAGTTTCTTGCCAAGTCTCTTGAAATGGTTTCAAATTCTTATAAACTGAGGGTTAGAGATCTAAGATAAAGAAATTGTTTCCATTGATAAAACCTTGGTTGTGTGTGTGTGTGTGTAAGGAGGAGTAACTATTAAGGATTAAATGATAAAATGTGACCAGATACCTCACACTTATTTGTGGAAATGTTTTGGCAACTTTTAGGTAATAGGGAGGAAGCACACTTGGTCATTATCCTCTGGAAAGCACCAATGGCAGTGAGAACAGTGAGGCATCCTCTAGTGACTCCCTGAGTCAAGAGCATCAACGAGAAGGAAACTAGGACTAAAAAGAAAAAAAGAAAAAAAAAGGAATTTTTTGGGTTCTGTACCTGATTGATATTTGTTAAAATAACCTTAAGGATTTCAAGCAATATTAAATCGAGAGATTACAAAGTTTAGATTCTATTGTAGAAGCTTGTGGAAAGATCATGAAATTTAGATTGTTAGTACTAATTTAAGTTTATATCCACTAAGTGTTTGGTTTGAGGACACCAGGATGACGTTTATTTGAATTTTCTTTTCTTCGGCCCCACAGTTTAATTCTTTGCTCTTAGCAAAATATTTGTCTGTGCTGTGCTGATCTTTAAACATAGTCTATTTATAAGATTCTAGAACCCTAGAATTTAAGAGCTGGGAAAGATCTCAAAAATATCCCTATAGTTCTACATCTTTTATCCTTATTTTGAAAGGTTAAGATATTTTTATAGATTCAACAAGCCTCAAAAATTACCCCCATAGTTGTAACTTCTGCTTTATTTGAAATGGTTTGATATGTTTTGTGGCTTTAATCTCCTTAGACATTACCTTTACAGTACTTACAAGTTTTTATTTAGAATGTTAGGTAATGAATTATGGCCAAATAAATCTTCAGTAAATTATTACTAGATACTTGTACCACCCAAATGTAAAGATTTGTTTACTGATATATTCCAAGAGCCCTCTGTGTGCTTGCCTTTAAAGAAGAGACACTATAAATTAATGATCTCTCTTGGACCCCCCAGAACCTCTCAGTGCCAAAAGTCTTCCTGCTTCAATTTCCTTACCTGTGACTTCTTATCATTATGGGCTTCTTCTTGCCATACTTGACCCAACAATAAAGTTAATCCCTTGTTTTATTAATCTCAACTCTAATCTACACCAACAAAATGTTAGATGCCAAATCTAAAAAGTCAAGTTTAATAAACATGCATTAGCAGTACAAACTGGGTATATGACACTAGGAATACTCAGCATATTACATTAATAAATATATGAAGGATTAAAATGTATTATGATCCTGCAGAAATTAACTTGTTAAGAAAACAAATACAAAATCTATGTTTATGAATATGCCTAATCAATATAAATTTATTATTGACTTTTTATGTTTGCCTAGTACTGTGTTACACTTCACAGATGTTCAACAGAGGCAGCAAAATTCATGATAATCAAAATAATAGGCTTTGGTTGGAGAGATCAAAAATAACTTTAAAGTAATAATTTTTTTCACCACTTCATAATAAATGACTTACTGGATCACCTATATAGAAATAAACATCTATGCTCCAGGCACTATACTAAGTCCTTTTGTATATCGTATCTTATCTCTTTTAGTATAACTGAAGTTTATATTTTCAAATCACTAAAATGTTATACTAGACATTCATAGTGATTATGAACGTTATTGCTTCAGTTCATTTATTTAACAAATATATATTGGGTATCATAATGTATAAAATACATTGTTCAACACCAAAAACCTGTTAACAAGATAATGGATAAAAAGGAATCATTAAAAGCCCTAGGAAAAATTGTTATGACAAAGGAAATGGCTCTTATATGGGTAAAATATTTACAAAGTACCCTTAAGCATCAAAAAGAGAATAGAAGAAAATGAAACAGTTCATTGATATTATAAACTTACAAGAGAGGAAGCTTCAAAGTTGAAGTGAAGGCATTTAGAAGACAGGTAAGCAACAAAAGAATAGCCAAGGATTCTATAGCATGAGGGCATTCCTTGTTTGCCCAATCAACTAGACACACATTGATATTCTCCATCCCCAGTAAACTAGCACTAGATAATTCAAGATTTGTCTTACCCCTTCTGCTTTTCAAAGAACTTTGTTTCTTCTTGCTCTCATGAAGTTATTATCATCTTCCTCCACCCTATTTCCTAATTATATCGATGATTTTATGTTAATGTAAATGTTTATCCTTCATAATGTTTTTTTTATTTCTATTGAGGCCTTCTAGAGACAGTGACTTAATCTAAAGAAACAGTTTCAATGGTAGGAATTTTTTTTTATTATACTTTAAGTTCTGAGGTACATGTGCAACATGTGCAGGTTTATTACGTAGATATACATGTGCCACGGTGGTTTGTTGCACTCATCAACCCATTTTCTACATTAGGTATTTCTCCTAATGCTGTCCCTCCCCCTGCCCCTGAAATATTTAACCTTATTAAAATAAACTTACCCTGCATATCACAACCACTTATATGTTTAAAATGAAATTATAATCTCTTCAATAAAGCTGGTGGCCTAAGAATCTATTGGAAATAATTTACAAATATAGTTAAATATAATCACTATTTATGCTTGAAAGTGATACATTTCAATTTGTTTAAAAAAAAAAATCTGAGGTGGTTGAAATGGTTTCTGTGTTTGGAGTGAAAATGAAAGAAAACATTTTGTTTCCAGATAACCCTCTGTGGAGATAGGATAAGAAGAGATCAAGGAATAGGGTCCACCATATATTTGGCCTTCATTTTTTCTTTTATTCGTTTTCAGGGTTGGTTTGGCCAATCTCTGAGAAATCTATTATGGCACTCTCACTTGTGGCTTCTTTTTGCTGAATTTCCTTCCATCTCCATTTTTCCTCTTTTATAAACCTATGAACTTCCTCCCATACGAAACCTTTTTAATTTTGTTTTTGCTTCATTTGGCTGAAGACTTATTCACAGCATGCTATTTTACTTAAGCCTCTCTTTTTTTCTTCTTTCTTTCTTTTCTTATCTTTCTGGTCCTTTCACATTTTATACATTTTTTTCTTCCACGTTTTTCCACTTGCTTAAAAATTCAGATATGTGGATATACATATAAAACATAAATTAAATAAGATATAGCTTCAGCTGGAAGTTACCAGTGATAATCATCTTTTTTCCTTTGATATTTTAGATTCAGTACGATGAATTTTTATTTTAAAAAAGACTGGACCTAAAGGATTGCATTTGACAGCTTATCTGTTTATGTAAATGATGTGCTTTTACTAATCAATTTTTCCAAAAAAATGTTGCTTACATAAAAAATCGTATTTTTCAGACTAAGTTGTTCCATCTGGAATCTGATTAAGTAGGGAGTCTACCATTTTCACACACAAGTCAATCAATGAGCTCAGTTGTATTTCCAATTACATTTCTAAGATGCAGCATAGAACTTTCCTGCTATGAATCACAATTTTTACTCTATTTATAAATGTTTCAACTGCACATGAATTTATACATCATATATTCAGTATATGTGTTTCAATGTAGTTTTCACTAATTCAAGTAGGTCTCTTAGTAAATCAAAACACCTTTATAGAGTGCTTTCTGAATGTCAATCTTAACTAAATCTCAAGTGGAAAAAGATGTAGACAGATGATGTCATTACTCAAGGATATCACAGATTGTGTTTGCATATTTCAGTTTTATTTTGAGCTGTTGTGTAAAAACATTAGCTCCTAAAACTTAAGAATTATGCTGCAAATTGAGTAGTTCTTTCATTATATCTGATTGAATAATGCTCTTTTTTTCAAAGGAATGATTTCTACTTTCATATGAAAATTTGATGAAGTAGCAAAATTCTGGTATAATTTAATTTCATTAACAGTGGAGAAAAATACCCATTTTTAGATAGCAAAAAGTCAGTCTACATTTAATCCATTTATCCTTTCTTTTGAAGCATTCTTCTGGAAGCTAAACTTATCTAAATAAAAATAATAATAATCACACAAAGTCAATTGTTTCCATGAATAGTATTTAAAATATTTAATCCCAGGTAAGGCATGTTCACCAACTAGTCGAAACTTACTCCCAGAGGATCAGGAAAAATAACTATTGGGTACTAGGATTATTACCTGGGTGACCAAAAAAATCTGTACAACAAACCCCCATGACACAAGTTTATCTACATAACAAACCTCCACATGTACCCCTGAACTTAAAAGTTAAAAAAAAAACTTACTCTTGACCAAAAGTACAGATATAATTTAAAACTAGCAGTAATTTCCAGTGGAATATTGGCACTGGTTTTAGTAAATGAAGATTGGGCAAGCCAGACATATTCACTATTTTCTCTAATAGACATTGTTTTGGGAAGAAGAATTTGGGGAAGATGTGGCAGGAGAACAGTTTTAAAATGTCTCTGAACATTTGTATAAAAATAAACATATCTATCAGGAAAGTAAAATAAATGTGGATAACATCTAGAAAAATATTAAGTGACAAAGCATGCTCATAATCTCCAAAATACAAGTAGAATAAATAATTCAAATTAACTGTGTAGTATTAGCAATGGTATAAAAGAAAACAGAAGAAAGAGGATATGGTTTGGCTCTGTGTCCCCACTCAAGTCTCATCTTGAATTGTAAACTCGACATGTCAAGGGAGAGACCTGGTGGGAGGTGACTGGATCATGGGGGTAGTTTCCTCCATGCTGTTCCCGTGATAGTGAGTTCTCATGAGATCTGATGATGTTGTAAGTGGCAGTTTCTCCTAGTAGTTTCTCTTGCTCTTTCTCTCTCTCCTGCCACCTTGTGAAGAAGGTACTTGCTTCCCCTTTGCCTCCCGCCATGATTTTAAGTTTCTCAAGGCCTTCCCAGCTATGCAGAACTGTGAATCAATTAATCCTCTTTCCTTCGTAGATTACCCAGTCTCAGATATTCTTTATAGAAGTATGAAAATTGACTAATACAGAAAATAAAGGAAATTCATAAGTTCCTGAGAGCTAAAAATTCTAAATCATCAACAGAAACTCATTCCAGGGTGCAGTGGAAAAATATGAGAACAATGTTCTCGATGGAGACAATGGGTTGAGGGTTCCAAGTTCTAATGAATGGGTGAATTGAGGATTCTGAGGAAAAGTGAAATTGTGCTGAGGTGTTTAGGGATCTCTGAACTCTCCAAATGACACAACAAATGTTTTCTTTCAGAGCAAAGCCCCTAAATTAGGAGAGACTGTTGGGATCCACTTATAATGAATCATTAACCTATGCATGATTTTCTAACATCATAAATTGATCATTTGGAAAATATTGGGTCACTTAGTTCTGCAGGATTTCCAGATATTGACACCTTTCACCATGTAATATTTTTTAATCACATTTTTAATATATCACTAATCTCACTCTAAAATCCTTAAATGTTAGGAAGCTGTCAAGATTTTGGTGATAGATATCAAGTTTTTATCATTTTAATGCTCTCTTGAAAGTACAAATTTTTATGAGTAGCAAAAATAATGAGTTGTTTTTCTTGAAATTACAAGCGAACTTCCTTAATTTTCAAAAATATTTCTATTAAATACCCAAGTATGAATGACCATAATTTCCTGTCATGGTTTTTGCTAGTGAAAATGGTGATCCATTAAAAAAGTAATTAGTTAAGCTTGCAACTTACACAAAGTCACAAGTGCTTCTCCTCAAGAACACCATTGTACTTTGATAAGTAAAAGTGTTTCAGGTGTATCACTGATTTAGTCAGAGTATTAAAAAGGTATGTATTAATTGGTTGACATTTAATAATATTCATATTTGTTATTGCTTCATCAAAGACTCAAACAGAATTTTGGCCAGGCGTGGTGGCTGAAGCCTGTAATCCATGCACTTTGGGAGGCCAAAGCAGGCAGATAATGAGGTCAGGAGTTTGAGACCAGCCTGGCCAACATGGTGAAACCCCGTGTCTACTAAAAATACAAAAAGTTAGCTGGGCATAGTGGCCGGCATCTGTAATCCCAGCTACTAGGGAGGCTGAGGTGGGAGCATTGCTTGAACCCGGGAGGGGGCGGTTGCAGTGAGCCAAGATCGCGCCATTGCACTTCAGCCTGGCGACAGAGTGAGACTCCATCTCAAAAAAAAAAAGAAAAAAGAAACGGAATTTTAATTTTTTTAAATTTTAGTAAATTATAATAGTGAAGAATACAATGGCTACTAGTTCTGTGTCATGTCACTGTCTTGATTCTTGCTGAAATGCCAGCTTTACACCCCCCAACCCCAACTGGTTTTGCACTATCAGTACAAATGTTAACAGTTATTCTTGGATAAATTATGAGATGATTTATGATATATCATGATCTGTCATGAGATTGTATATGCATATATGTAAAGTAAAATAACAACAAAGCAGATTGAGGTTGCAATATAATATTTTAAAATAAGCTTAAAAAGTGAAAGATTGAAGCAATAACATACATTACAATTAAATAAACATAGTAAAGCGATTGCAGAAAAGAACTTACATGAAAGTACTGAAATAATTTAAGAAATATTTAAATATTAAAAGAAAATACTTCAGAAATGAAGATTAAATTAGAGAAAACACAAAAGTGAGTAAACAACAGGAATGGAATTTTTTAAAATAAAATACATAAGACATAAATGTGAGTTCTCTAACATAAACAAAAAAGATCCAATTTATATTTAATAATAATTCCTGAAGGGGGAAAAAATGAAGCAATGGGAATTTACTAAATTTATATTATAATTTAAAATCTACTATTAACAGATACTGTGTATTTGGGAAAAACCAACCCCAAACGGCCAAAATAGATGCAAATTCTGACAAAATTATATGTCTTAAGAAACAGGAAAGAAAAAATACCCTGGCATTGAGGCCCCTAGTTACCATGCAACAATTTTATAAAGCAGAAATTACAGAAAACATGATAGAAAACAGACAGACACAAATTAACAATCTGAGACTTTAGTATCTCTTTCAATCTAAGACAGATATGAACCAACTATTAAGAACATAAAGTATTTAACAACCTAATAATAATGTAGTTGTTACAGACATAAATAGATATATCTAGGTAGAAACATTTATATTAAGAGACTTTTGTACATAATTCACAATATATATTCAGCCAATGAAAATAAACTAGGCAAAGGAATTAGAGGTACAAGAATTAAAACAAAAGAGGTCAAACTATATTTGTTGTTATTATATATCTAAAAACTTTACAAAAGAATCAAGAAAAAACTGTCATTAAAACTAGGTGAATTTAGTAAAGTAGCTGGCTAAGAAAACAACAAACAAAAATACATATATTTTTATATACAAAGAAAAAAACAGTTAAAAGAAAGAAAAGAATCTATTTGCTAAAAATAAATAGAATAAAAATATATAAGTGAAAAGAAGACATATGGAAAATCCGTACGAGCTAAACTATGAAACACTTCTGAATGAAACACACATTGAAAGTTCCTGTGTTCTTACACAGGGAATATCAGCTGTATAAAAACATCACTTCTCTTGAAGTTAATTTATGTACGTAATACAATCCATTAAAATAGTGGAGAGTATTATTGTTACATTATTTTTATAATTTAGTAACATACAATGGCAAAAAGCAAGAGGAACCTATCTTTATAATCCTATGAAGTCATCTTCAAGATTTATTTTTGAATGAAAAATCAAGTTGGAGAAAACAATCTTAATATTGCACTGTTCATTTAAGTAGCTGGAGGTGAATACCAATCTATGCATACTTTGTCAATTCATACTATTTAAAAATAAAATACATAAACCATATTTTGTAAGTGCCATATATAGGCGGAGGAATGAGTAGAAGGAAGTAGAATACTATCTGGTTTATATTCCTTTTTTTATAGACTTAATTTTTAAATCATGCAAATATTTTATTTTATACAACAAAATTGAATGTAGAGCTTAAATATTTGAAAGTTAGAACCAATAATTTTAACTTTATATGGAGCAGAAAATATCATCATATTGAAGGAATTTTTTTCCAAATAATTTAAAAATATGGTAATTTGGCTCTGTACTCCAAGGATTAGGCAAAAGAAAAAGTCTGAAGCTAACTTTAGTAATTATATTATTAGTGATAAAGTTGTTATGGTTTTTATTAGATTATAACATTGAGTTGTGGTTTAAAACCAATGAATAACTTCTCAAGAACTGCGCTTAGTACCAAACATATAACATATTTAAATTGTTTATAAATTCTTATTGAGCACTCTTATTGCTCAACTTATAATGTAATTCTATAATATAATTTTGCATTGTAAAGAACCAGAGATCCAAGTCTGTGGCAAGAAATACAAACAAAGCACAGCCTATTTTGTCATATAACAAATGAAGTTTTAACAGACTACCTAGATTATCTCAGAAAGATCCCAAAATATCCTCTGAAAAATATTAGCTAATTGAATTCAGTAAGGATAAAAGAAATTATACACCCCAATTATTAGCATTTATCACAGGTATGCAAGCCTGGACCAATGTTTGAAAATCAATTAATAAAATTTGCCACATAAATAGCCAAGAAAAGTAAAATCACATGATTATATCAATAGGTACAGAAAAAGCATGTGAAAAAAAATACGCATTCATGAAAAAAACTCTCAGCAAACCAGGAATAGGGGAATCCTCTTTAACTCAATAAAGAATATCTACAAAAGTCCTATAGGTAACAACATCCCTAACTGTCAGAAACTAGAAGCTTTCCCATTGAGGTCAGGAGCAAGGCATGGATATCTCCTCTCTCCATTGCTTTCAACACCATACTGGAAGTCCTAGATAATGCAATTAGACAAAGAAGCCAGATAGAGAAGACCCTTTCATACTCAACTGTGTAGACTAGATCCGAAAATGATGATGCCAATAAGAACAGTAAGCTTGTGTCTTTTGATCTGTCAGCCATATTTAAAACAGGTCAACACTTCTTTTACAAAACAATCTCCTCTCGGCTTCAGTGACGCACGCTCTTCTTTCTTTGTCTGTAATATTGGCCTCTTTGTTGCTCTCCTTTACTAGCTCCTGTTTCTCTGTTTGTCTTCTGAATATTGAAAAGACCCAAGGCATGCTCCCTAGCACCCTACCCCTCTATTTGTATTGTTGTCCTAGCAAATATTATGTAGCCTCAAGGTAAAATATAATCTAATTGCTGATAGTAACCAGATTGAAAGATATAAGCATAACCTCTAAAAGGAACCAGATCTATCCACCTGACTGCCTATTTATGACTACACTTTAGAAGTAAAAAGTTATTTAAAACTTAAAATGGTCATAAGTGTTGATATTTTCATCTGTTCTTTGCCATCTGCTTTTCTCCTAATTTTTTTTCTATTCCAATAAGTGGCAATTGCATTCACCCAATTGCTCAAATCAAAATTCTACACAAGATCCTCAAGTCTAGTCTTCCTCTTATCCTGAGCATCCTATGTGTCAGGAAGTACTGTTGGCTCTGCATCTGAAATAAATCCTAAAGGTGCCTACTTCTCTCCATCTCCACTGCCAGTATTTTATTTAAAGCCACTATCATCTCTTCTCGGAATAACTACATCGCTTTTAAATTTTTTTTCTACTTCCATTCTTTCACCATTTCAATTTATTCTCCTCACAGCAGCTGACCTATTATTACCATAAAGAGAATTCTAGACCAGAGATGTATTCACTGGTAAATTATATGTATATTTTTTAAATATTTCAAATAATTAACTTTTGATTTTAAAAAATATTTAAAAGAGTCGTATAAGTTGTTACAAAGGTAAAAGAGGAACAAAACTTTCTCTCTTATTCTATGCGGCCAGTATTATCCTGTTACCAAAATGAGACAAAAACATCTCATGAAAAGCCAACTTCTCATGAATGCAAATGCAAAAATCATCAAAAAATAGTAGTAAACTGAATTCAGAAGATTAAACACTGTGTCTGATTGGTTCTAGGAATGTAAGTTTGGTTCACCATGTGAAAATCCCCCTACTATATCATGTTAATAGAGTAAGGGCTAAGAAAAATGAGATAAGGAGTACAAACAACTGAATCATTTCAATATATAAAGAACAAGCATTTGACAAAAATGTATTGTCCTTATATGATACAAACACTTGACAAAGTAATAAAAAAAGGAAACTTCCTCAACCTACTAATGGGCATATATGAAAAACCCAGCTAGCATCACAGTTAATAATGAAAGACTGAAATCTTTTCCCCTAAGATCAGGAATAAAACCAGATTATCTCCTCTTATTACTTTTATACAGTATTTTACTAGAAGCTCTAACCAGACTCTAAACAAAGTACTTAGGCAAGAAAAAGAAATAAAATTTGTCTATGTTGGACAGAAAGAAGTAAAAGTGTATCTATTCACAGAGGGCATAATTTTGTATGTAGAAAATCCTAAGAAAGCAGTAAGAAAAACACTAAAGCTAATAAATAAGTTCAGTAAAATTGTAAGATATGAGATTAACATACAGAAATCAATTACATGTCTATACAGTAGCAACAAATGCTCTAAAATGAAATGAAAACAATTTATATTATCATTAAAAAGAATAACATATTTAGAAATAAATTTAACAAAATAATTTCAAGGATTATATAGTGAAAACTACAAATTTTTATTGAAATAATAAAGAAAAAATAAATTAAAAGATATTCTGTGTTTGTGGATTGGAAGATATTGTTAAGATATCAGTTAGTCTATTTCACCTATTAATTCAAAATATAATATTTGTCAAAGTTCCATCTGCCTTTGTGTAGAAACTGATAATCTAATCTTAAGTTCCATATGAAAAATTCAGAGGATCCAGTCAGAATAGCCAAAAGAATCATGAAAAAGGAACAGACTTGGAGAACTCAGACTTTCCAATTTCAAAACTTATTAAAACTATAATAATTAAGAATGTGTAACATTGGGATAAGTATAGACATATGATCAATGGAATAGAATTGAGGCTCCAGAAATATATTCTTACATTTGTGGTTAATTGATTTGCAATGAGAAGGCCAAGATAATTCAGAGAAAACAACAATATTTTTAACAAATAGTTCTGGGACAATTGTTTATTAGCATACAAAATAATAAATTTAGATGTCCATGTCATATCATATAAAAAATAACTCAAAACTCCTAATTGTAAAAGCTAAAAATATGAATGTCTTCAAAGTAAACATAGGAATATATCATTTTGCCCTTCGGAATTAGGCAATGATTTCCTGGATATAATATTAAAAGCAGAGGTTATGAGAAAAATAGATAAATAACTTCATCAAAATTAAAAGTTTGTGCTTCAAAAGACTGTCAAGCAAATGAGAAGACTCATAAAGTGTGAGAAAATATTTGCAAATTATATACCTGATAAGAAATTTGTGTTCAGAATATTATAAAGACTTTTAAAAAGATTTAAACAAATTAAAAATGGACAGAAATTTTTATGGGCACCCATGCACAGCATTCGGAAGTCTGACGATGGGCCTGCCCTATCTGCAACTATCAATGTGTGCTAACTAGGGGTCCAGATTCCAGCTCACCCAACCCTCTGTCATATGGGTCAACCATGCAAGAGCCCAAAGAGCGATCTTCTGCCATTACTGCCATTGCCAACATCATGCACACTTCCAAGGGGACTAAGAACCTCACAATCAGCCTCTCCCTGCCACCATCAGCACACAAGCATGCTACCTAGAGGTCTGAAGACCAGCTACCTGAAGCCATCACTGCTGGCACCCACATATGCACCAGGGTCATGAGGACTGGCCTTCCTGGCCTGAAACTACCACCACTGGTGCCCTAGAACCAGCCCACATGGCATCCTTATCCTCAGCAAAGACTCAGCACATTCTTCACTGGGCCTAAGCCACAAAGGAAATCACAGATGTTAGTGTTGTTGATTACAGCTGAATAAATCATATGAAGATTACACTATTGCACCCATCCAGAATCAAAGTCAAAGCACCCTACCAAACCATTATTATAGATACATCTAAATAAAAGTCTTTTTTTCACAAAAGCCAATCCATAAATTTGACAGAAAGCAGCTGTCATACCAGATGGGGACATATTAACCTAAGAACCCAAGAAACATAAAAAAGGCATGAAAACATTACACCCCAAAGGAGTATAATAATTATCCATTAAGAGATCCCAATGAAAAGAAACTATAAACTACCTAAGAAATAATTTAAAATAATATTTTTAAAACTCAGTGAGATATAAGAGAACACAGATAAACAATACAAATAAATCAGAAACAATTTTATTATTTCAATAAGAAATTCAACAAAGACAGATATCATAAAAATGAACAAAACAGAAATTTGAAAAGTGAAGAATTCAAAAGATAAAATAAAAAAATACAGTTGAAAGCTTCCACAATCATCTAAATCAAGAAGAAAACAATTCTAAATGTGAAGACACGTCTTTTAAAATAACCCAGTCAGACAAAAATAAAAAAAAATGAAGAAAGCCTACATGACATGTGGGACATTATAAAGCACCCAAATACTCTATTTTGGGGAGTTCCAGAAGAAGAGATAGGCAAAAGCATAGAAAACTTATTTAATGAAATAATAGCTGATAGCCTCCAAGTCTTGCTAGAGACAGAAACATTCAGATATGGGAAGCTCAAGGAAAGCCCAAATAGATTCAACTCAAAAAGGTTTTCTACAAGGCACACCGTCAAAAATCAAAGACAGAATTCTAAAAATAGTAATAGGGTCAAGTTACATATAAGGTAGTTCCCAGCATACTAACAGTGAATTTCTCAGCAGAACTTTATAGGCCAGGAGAGCACAGGATATATTCAAAGTGCTGAAAGAATAAAAGCTGCCAGCCAAGAATACCATACCTACCAAAGCCAACCTTCAGAAATGAAGGAGAAATAAAGTCTTTCTAAGACAAGCAAAACCTGAGGGAATTCATAACCACCAGAATGACTTCTAAAGAAATGCTTAAAGAAGTTCTATATGTGGGGTAAAAGGATGATACCTAATATTAAAAAAAAAGAAAATAAAACTCACTGGTAAAACAGCTAATCAGATGACAAAGAGAAAGGAATCAAACACTATCAGTACAAAAAAAAAAAAAGGTAAATAATAGAAGAGGCAATAATAACATATGCAAACAATCAGGAAACAATTTAAAAGGTGACAAGAGTAAGTCTTCCCCTATCAATAACAATGTTTAATGTAAGTGGTTTAAGTTCCCCAGTTAAAATATACAGATGAATTGAATGGATTAAATATATAAATCCAATTATATGCTGCCTACAGCAAACTTACTTCACTGGTAAAGACACATACACAGTATAAGGATGGAAAAAATATTTCATGTAAAAAGAAACCAAAAGTCTACAGGAGTACCTGTATTTATATCAGAAAAATAATAAGATATTAAGTCAAAAATAATAAAAAGAGGAAAATAATTATATGATGATGAAGGGATCAATATGCCAAGAAGATGTAACAATTGTAAACATACATGCACCCAACACCAGAGTACTGAGGTACATACAGATAATATTAGCAGAGCTAAATAGAAAAATAGACCCTAATGTAATAATACCTGGGAAACTCAATACCTGACTTTCAGCATTGGACAGATGATCTATACAGAAAATCAACAGAGAAACATAGGACTAAATCTGCATGATAGACCGAAGGGACTAAACAAACATTAAGAGAACATTTTACGCAACAGCTGAAGAATATTCATTCTTCTCATCAGCACATTGGAACATTCTCCTGGATATTTCAGACCAAAAGTTAGTCCACAACACAATTCTCAACAAATTTTTAAAAATACAAAATGTATTAAGTATTTTCTTAGATCGCAATGAAATAAAACTAGAAGTAAATTCCAATAAAAAATTGTAAACTATACAAATAAATAAAAAAATTAATGTGCTCCTGAATAAACATCAAATTAATGAAAAAAATAAGAAAATAAAAAATCCTTAAAACAAACGAAAATGAAAACACAGCATACCAAAATTTATGGGATACAGCGAAAGCAGTGCTAATAGAAAAAATGTTATAGCAATGAACAACTACATCTAAAAAGTAGAAAGATTTTAAATAACCTATTAGTGCTCCACAAGGAACTAGAAAAGCAAGAGAAAACCAAACCTAAAATTAGTAGAAGAAAATAAATAATAAAGATTAGAGAAGAACTGAAGAAATTGGAAACAAAAATACAGAGAATCAACAAAATGAAAAGTTGGCTTTTAGGACATTAGGAAAAAGAACTAATGCATGCAGGTCTTAATACCTACGTGATAGGTTGATAGGTGCAGCAAAACACCATGGCATATATTTACCTATGCAACAAACTTGCACATCCTGTATATGTACCCCAGAACTTAAAAAATAAAAGAAAATAAAATGAAAAAATTAAAAAATCAATAAACCATTAGCTAGACTAATAAAGAAAAAAAGAGAGAAGACTCAAAAGCAGAGAAGAAAAAGATGACATTGCAACTTAACCCACAGAAATACAAAGGAGCATTAGAGACTATAATAAACAAGTATAAGCTAACAAATTTTTAAAAATTAAAGGAAAGGGATAAATTCCACATACGATCCACCAAGATTGAACAAAGAAGAAGTAGAAAACTTGAACAGACTAATAATGAAAAATAAGATTAGATCAGTAATAAATAGTCTCCCTAAAAAGAAAAACCCAGGACCAAATGGCTTTACGGATGAATCTACTAAACTTATAAAGGAGACTTAATACCAATTCTCAAACTATTCCAAAAAATTGATGATAGTGGAAATTTTCCTAAATCGTTCAGCGGGGTTAACATTATTCTGTTAGACATAAAAGGAACATGCCTCAAAATAATAAAAGCCATATATGAAACTCAAAGCTAACATCATGCTGAATGTGGAAGTGCAAAAAGTTTTTCCTGAATTGGAACAAAACAAAGATATTCACTTTCACTACATTTATTTAATATTGGAGCAAAAGTCCTAGCCAGACCAATACAGCAAAAGAAATAAAAGGCATCCAAATTGGGAAAGAGGAAGTCAAATCGTCCATCTTTGCCAAAGACATGTTTTTATAGTTAGAGAAAGCTTCAAGACTCCACCAAAAAAATAAAAATAAAAATTATAGAACTGATAAATTCAGTAAAGTAATATGATACAAAATCAACCTTAAAAATTAATAGCATTCCTATACACCAATAACAAACTAGCTAAAAATATCAAGAAATCTATGTTATTCACAAAAGCTACAAACAAAAAAGTAAAATACCTATTAATACATTTAATCAAAAAGGTAAAATACCTCTACAATGAAAACTATAAGGCTGGGTGCGGTGGCTCATGCCTATAATCCCAGTACTTTGGGAGGCCAAGGTGGGCAGATTACTTAAGGTCAGGAGTTTGAGATCAGCCTGGGCAACATGGTGAAGCCCCATCTCTACTAAAAATACACAAATTAGCTGGGCATAGTGGCAAGTGCCTGTAGTCCCAGCTACTCAGAAGCCTGAGGCAGGAGAATAAACTCAGGAGGCGAAGGCTGCAGTGAGCCGAGATCAACCTAGCCTGGGTGACAGAGCGAGACTCCATCTTGAAAAAAAAAAGAAAACTATAAAGCACTGGGGAAAGAAATTAAAGAAAACAATAAACAAATGGAAAAACGACTCTTGGTCATGGACTGGAATAACTAATATTGTTAAAATAGCCATACTACCCAAAGAAACCTATAGATTCAATGCAATCTGTATAAAATACCAATGATATTATTCATATAAACAGAAAAAAAAATCATAAAGTTAGTATGAAAACACAAAACAGCCCAAATAGCCAAAGCAATACTAAGCAAACCAAAGCTGAAGGCATCACACTATCTGACTTTAAAACATACTACAGTAGTAACCAAAACAGCATGGTATTGGCATAAAAACAGATACATAGACTAATAGAGCACAATAGAAAATGCAGAAACAAATCCATGTATTTTCAGGCAACTAATATTTGACAAAGGCACAAAGAACACATGTTGAGAAAATAACATTTTCTTCAATAAGTGGTTCTGAGACAATGGAATATTCATATGCAGAAGAGTGATACTAGAACCCAATCTTTCACCATATATAAAAGTCAACTCAAAATTCACTGGAAACTTAAATGTAAGACCTGAAACTATAAAACTGTTGGAAGAAAAGAAGGAGAAGTGCTTCAGAAAATTAGTCTAGGCATAGATTTTAAGGCTAAGTCTTCAAAAGTGCAGGCAACAAAAAACAAAAACATAGACCAATAAAATTGCATTGAACTAAAAAGCTTCTGCACAGCAAAGGAAATAATCAGCAGAGTGAAAAGACAACTTATAGAATGGGAGAAAGTATTTACAAACTATTCATTCAACAAGGTACTCATATCCAGAATATACAAGGAACTCAAAACAACTCAACAGAAAAGAAAAAAAAGAACCATATAATCTAATTTCAAAAATGGGCAAATGAGCTAAATAGGCTTTTTTCAGAAGAAGAAATACAAAACACCAACAGGTATATGAAAAATACTCAGCACCACTAATCATCAGGGAAATGGAAATCAAAACCACAATGGGATAGTATCTCGCCCCAGTTAGAATGGCTGTTATTAAAAAGGAATGCTATTGGGAGAAATATAAAGAGTACGGAGACTTTGCAAAAAACTAAAAATAAAACGGCTATATAATCTAGCAATCCCATTACTGGGTATTTATTCAAAGGAAAGGCAATCAGTATATCAAAGGGATACCTGGTCTACCATGTTTATAACTGCAACACTGCTCATAATAGCCAAGATATAAAATCAATTGAAATGTCTATCTATAGATCAACAGATACAGAAAATGTGACATATATACACAATGGGATACTATTCAGCCATTAAAGAGGAATAAAATCCTGTCATTTGCAGCAACGTGTGTGGAACTAGAAGTTTTTACGTTAAAGTTAAATAGGCCAGGCACAGAAAGAAAAATATCACATGTTCTTGCCCATATGTGGGGGCTAAACAAGTTATTGCATGGAGGCAGAGAGTAGAATGATGGTTACTAAAGCTGGGAATTGTGGAGGAGGGATAAAGAAAAGTTGATTGATGATACAAATATAGAGTTAGCTAGAAGGAATACGTTCTACTATTTGATAGCACAGTAGGGTGACTACAGTGAATAATTTATTTTATATTTCAAAATAGCTAGAAGATTTGACCTGTTCTCAAAGAAATTATAAATGTTTGAGCTGATGGATATCCTAAGTACCCTGATTTGATCATTATGCATTGTGTGCATGTGTCAAAATATCACATGTACCCCATATACATGTAAAATTTAGTATCAATGAAAAAGCAAGGTGCCAAGCAAAAAAATAAAATAAAAATAAAAATGGGCAAAGATTTTCATTAGACATTTCTCTAAAGACATATACATGACCAGTAAGCACATACAAAGATGCTTAATATATTTAGTCACTAGGGAAATGTAAATTAAAACCACAATAAGATACTTAACACCCATTAACTAGGATGGCTGCAATGAAAGAAACATGGAAAATAACAAGTGTTGACCAGATATGGAGAAACTGTAGCCCTCACACGTTGCTATTGGTAATGTAAATTACGGCAGTCACTCCGGAAAACAGTTTTGAAGTTCCTAAAAAGTTAAACATAGAGTTACCCTATGACCAAGTAGCTCCCCACTTAGGTACATAGCCAGGACATTTGTAAAAATATACACACAAAAACCACAAACAAATGTTCATTGAAGCACTATTCATAATAATGAGACAGAAATCCAAATATCTACCAACTGATGTATAAAATTTAAAAATGTGGTATATACATACACTGTATATACATACATACACATATACTTTCTCAGTCATAAGAAGAATGTTAGTATTGAAGTCATGATGTGTACTCAAACATGGATCAATCTTGAAAGCATTATGCTAAATGAAAGAGGCCAATTACTAAAGTCCACCTATTATATGATTCCATTTATATTAAATATACAGAATAGACAAATTAATAGAAAGAGATACATGTGTGATTGTCAGGAGCTGGGGAAAGAAAACATAGAAAGTGACTATAATAGGACATAGGGCTTTTTTTGGAGGCTGTGAAAATAGTGGAAATTTTTGTACAACTTTGTGAAAATACTAAAAATCAATGAAATGTACACCTTAAAGAGGTGAATTGTATGGTATGTGAATTATATCTCATTAGAAAATTTATTTCAGGAAAGGTTAAATAAAGATTCTAGATATCTGGGTCTTTTCAGGGTTCAGAAAGTCAGTTATTAATTATAAATAGAAAGTAACAGGATTAAATAAGTCTCAGACCACACAGGTCTAGTAAAATTATTTCTTTGAATAAGAGATCAATGTAAAGATCAGATTAATTGTGTGAACTTTCCTTTTTATGCTGCAGTCTTAAATTAGCTTGCAATTTAGTGAGGGATAAGGAAAGAAGCCCTCATATCCTATCCCTTAAAAGATAGTGCAGATTCTTAAGTAATGAGTGCTATGGTTTCAATATTTGTGTCCTCTGAAACTCATGTTGAAACGTATTCCCCAATGTAACTGTATTAAGAAGTGGGGCCTTTAAGGAGTGATTGGGACATGAGGGCTGTTTCCTCATGAATGAAGTCATTCATTCATAGATTAATTGGTTAGTGGATTAATGGGTTATCATGGGAATGGGTTAGCTATCACGAGAGTAAATTTCTTATAAGTGCCAGTTTGGCTCTCAGTGCACCTGTCTCACTCTGTGATGCCGTTCATCATGTGATGGAACACAAGGCAATCACCAGAAGCTGACCAGATGCCAAGCCTTAGATATTAGACTTTATAGCCTGCAGAAATGTAATAAATAAATTTCTTTTATTTATAAGTTACTCAATCTCAGGTGTTGAGACATAGCAACAGAAAATGGAGTAAGACAATGATCTAAAAGAAATTTGAGTTTAATGACTAGTTTTAGACCAGTTTGAAAGTTAAATAAATAAGGAACGTACTAATTTCCCAGCACTAAATATATGCAAAATGGAATTTCACTGCTTAAGTCTTAAGAAAATAGTTGGACTCCTGTATTAGTCCATTTTGCCTTACTATAAAGGAATACCTGAGACTGAGCAATTTATGAAAAAAAAAGGTTTATTTTGGCTCACAGTTCTGCAGACTATACCAGCATTGCACCAGTATCTGCATGGCTTCTGGTGAGGGCTTCAGGAAGCATACAACCATGGCAGAAGACAAAGGGGGAGCTGGAATATCACATGGTGAGTGAGAGCAAGAGAGATGGGGAGAAATACTATGCTCTTTTAAACAACCAGCTCTTGTACAAACTACAAGAGAGAGAAATCACTCATTACCATGGGATGAAAGCAAGCTATTCATACAGGATCCATCCCCATGACTCAAAGACCCCAACTAGGCACCATCTCCAACATTGGGGGTTACATTTCAACATGAGCTTTGGAGGGGACAAACATCCAAACTCTATCAGCTGCCATCTGTTTTTAAGTAAGAGGTGGGCTAGGGAAACTGTGTTGCTTCCTAAGGCAGACTTACTTATTCTTTTCCTTTCCAAATAGAACTATTTATTTTGGTTATTTCATCCCTGTTCTACTGTTATTAGGAGCATGAAAGACAGAAAACTGATTATTTTAAAGTTCAAAGTTTTTCAGACAAAAAGGAGTTGTATATAAATTTAATGTAAGGACCACTTAAAAACACCCAGAAATCCCAGGCTTTCAGCTGGAAGGGTTTGGAGTTATGTTTCTTGGGGTGGAGCTGATTATGCTTAATGTGTAGGGAAATTGAAGGAACAAGTAAAATTTTTGATATCCAGATGGTGGACTGTGACAGTGACAGCTAGTGCTCACTAAATTCTCAATTTGTTCCCATGCATTTTCCAACCCTTGTGCTGTTAGGTGGGGACTCAGAGCTGTCCTCAATAATAGACTACAAACAGATGTGATACGTGTCACTTCAGAGAGATGGCAATTGAAAGCTGGCTTTGTGTGTCTCCTTCAACCTTCTCTGCCCTTGAGGTTACAGCATGGAGGCCACATGCTCCAGATGGCATAAGGAATAATAGCTTTTACCTGCCCATATGTGACTTCATGCGAGTGAAAAATAAAGCTTTATTTTCTTAACATACTGAAATTTGTTTTCTTTTCCTTTTGTTGCCCTAACTAGTATGTCTTACTTTGACTAATCCGCTGACCTTTAATAACTTATTTAAATTTTCTAAGCTTGCAGTTTTCTCATGTAAAAG
This sequence comes from Homo sapiens, assembly GCF_000001405.40. Taxonomy (NCBI): domain Eukaryota; kingdom Metazoa; phylum Chordata; class Mammalia; order Primates; family Hominidae; genus Homo; species Homo sapiens. The sequence goes on along the minus strand of NC_000002.12, from coordinate 115,850,770 downwards.
TTGAGATGGTGATCATACTTAACTAGTTACTGTTTTAAAGTTAAAAATAAGTGTGTTAATGCGCATATCTTAGGACTTGGTACAAATCAAGCAGCTAGTTAATGTTAGCGCTCATCATTATTAACATATTTTATCATAGCAATTTATAAACTGAGTAGGGCATAATATAAATTCTGCACATTAAAAAGAGCATATATGAATGAGAAATTATATTCAATGAAATAGATTAAGTTAGGGGGATTTAGGAATTGAGGATAACTGGAAATTGTTAAGAAATATATATTAGAATTTGATAGAAAAGTGGATAACAGTTAAAGAAAATTTTTAAATTTAGAGTAGAGTCCAGATGAAGTTAAAAGCATAATTCCAAATATCGAAACTCTTTACTCCTTTTACTATTATCTGTCAACCTAAGAACAAAAGAAAAGCTTGCAAATTATACAATTTCCTGGTTTTGGAGAATGAGAAAAGCACTGAAAGGTCAATAAAGCACAAAGGAAAAGGCTGGTTCTGGGTCCAAGCTGGGTAGAGACACAACTGAGATCCAAAGGCAGTGGGTGGGCAAGGGGCAAGTAGCCATTTGACTTTTTGAAAATTTTTCACTCTCTGGAAATATTTATTTTTCTATGAGATGTAAATTTGTTTCTTCTACCCTTGACAAATTGACTTAAAATAATGCCCACACACCACAGAATAACAAAACAAAACAAAACAAAACAAAACAAAACTAAACTTTTGTTGTCAATGCCCTTATGCCAGAGGCAATTTGGACTAAGAAATAATTGTCAAAAAATGGCAGGGCTTTACTACAAATGTCCTTGAAATTGAGAGTGGAATGGGCAACTACATATAGACCAACCACTTTTGGTATAAAAGTGGGCTATGGAGCCCTTTTTACTGAAATTTTAAAAAGTAGATTCATTATGAAATATTTTTTGAAGGTGGGGTGGGCACAAGAGAATAGCGCACTCAATTAATTAGGTGAGCATTAAAAATGACTCAGTGGGCTAGGCGCAGTGGCTCATGCCTGTAATCCCAGAACTTTGGAAGGCCAAGGCAGTCGGATCACCCGAGGTCAGGAGTTCAAGACCAGCCTCGCTAACATGGAGAAACCCCGTCTCTACTAAAAATACAAAAATTAACTGGGTGTGGTGGCGTGTGCCTGTAATCCCAGCTACTCGGGAGGTTGAGGCAGGAGAATCACTTGAACCCAGGAGGCAGTGGTTGCAGTGAGCCCAGATCCTGTCACTGCACTCCAGCCTAGGCGACAAGCGTGAAACTCTGTCTCATAGAAAAAAAAAATTGACTATGCTGATATTTTTTAGTAACTGCTGACTCATTTAGCTGTAACATTTGTACTGAAATATCCACTCATATGTTAGACTTATTAATTAGATTCAGTGTTAAAACAAGGATCCTAACGCTGTGCCATCCAGCAGACTACCTGGTACATAGTAGGCATAAATGATCTTTGTGTTATTTCATGATTGAAGTCAACCCTGATGTTAAAATTTTTCCTTTATCTGAGCAAGGGAATTTACAATTTGTTCTTACCAAGGGCTTGAAATGCAATTACACTCTACAGATCATTAAAAGTCACACATGATGTCCTAAGGCATAGAGAGTTGGAGTGTAATGAGAATTACACCTATTAAAAGTGCATATGAATTGGGAGGCTGCGTTACCTGTGTTTCCTTGTCAGGTCTTTTCTTTTCCAATTGGTATGTGCCTTACACAATCCATCAATCAGGAGGATTAATGGCGTGCCCAGAAATGTAGGCCATACGGAGATAATCAAGGCATCATAAATTGTGTTAGAGCAGATAAAGCCTACCAAATGGGACTGCTAGCACAGCAATCACATTTCCAAACTGCCTGCCTGCACTGGAAAATGCGTCAATGATGAAGAGCACAGGTGAAAATAGTAAATGTCAACCAGGGAAGAGTGTACTCACTCTCAGGAACAGAGAGTGGAGTCGATGTCTGGGATCTTCCGAGAGGAAAAGTGGGTCTGTGTGTTACTGGCAGTGAATCCGTATGGATCTGCAGCAAGCTCAGCTCTTGCCTCCTCAGGAGAAAGGATTCCACTGAGGAGGCAGAAGGCAGAAGGAGGGACTAAGGCAAGTGTCAGAGCAGGAATGAAACATTAGTAAAAGGCTTTAGAGAAGGAAGGAAAGAAAGGAAAGTACATTTGGAAGAAGGCCAAGTGGGGGACTTGAGAGATAAAGTGCACCGTTTGACCTTGACCTTTTGACTTTGGGTTTTATATGTGGGCGTACTTACGGGGCCTTGCGTTGCGCCTCCCGAGTCTTCACTTGGGGTGGGCTGTCTGCACACGCAGTGGCCTGCCACAGTTTCCGAGGGGCTGCATGTACAGTGTCTACTGGAGTCGCATGCGTGCTCCCTTGAGGCGTTCTTCCCTTGACAGAAGGTCCTATACCAATTAAACACCACCATTGCGCCTCTCGGTGCGCATGCTTGAGCCCACTAGCCCAGCTCCTGAGATACTAATATGATTGGGAAGCTGCTGACCACCAGTTTCAGGTGTTTCTGTTTATTGGGAGGCTGCCTTTCCCTGGCGCTAGTTAGGACCAATTATTATTTTAAAGAGGCAGTGAAACACCTGTCTGACCATCACCTGATGATGGTCACCCAACATTCGTGGTGGGCAGGAGTCCTCTCCTCCTCTGCTCACGTCTGACTAGCGACCTACTGTATTATGTATAAAACACAGCTTTTAATGTTTAATACTTTGAGGTATTCCTCCAGATGAGATGCCAGCATCAAGGACCTTATCGCCGTGGGTAGGGTGTACCTTTCCCTCGGTGCCTTGATCTCATTTATGTTCATTCTCGTATCCTTCTTCCTTGTGGCACCCTTACCAAAGAGATTGCAAATTCAGATGTATTGCTTCCCAGCTTTCCTTATATCTAGGAGAAGGGCCTGCAATGAAAGCCTGTAGAGTACAAAGGGACCTGAGAAAATCCTTCTTAAGACTTCCGGAGAAAATTATCTTTCCCGATAAAAGATAGGCAAGAGGAGAGTCGTCCTTTGACTTTCTATCCTTGGACAATGCTCCGAAAAGATGATACATTGCCTGGGGCAGCTGCAGTTATCTGAAAACAAGGCAGGGAACAAAAAGCAGACCAAAGCAAAAGTGTAAACTTGGGAGGAGACTGGGATTTGAGTGTATCATTGATCAGTTAACTGACCTAGAAGCACCCAACTTTAGCGCTCCTGGAATGTGAATCAGTAATAGTTCCTATCATTGAAGCTAGTGTTTCTCAAACTTTAATGTGCACATCACTTGGGGATCTTGTTAACATTCGGGTTCTGATTCAAGAAGGTCATGGTAGTGCCTTAGAGTATACATATCTAACAAACTCCCAGGTGACGTCCAAGCTGTGCATATATTGAATCACAAGTATTTAAGCCATTTAAAATTTTGTATTTAGTTCCCTGCAGCCAGAAGCATGCAAAATGGCATCTTTGAACAGTGAGGGTTCAAAGATGTCCATCTTTGAACAGTGAGGATTCATTGAAAACTGAATCCAAAGAGATGATGATGAACTTTAGGAACTAGCTTTAAAAAATGCATGGATAAAACCATCACATGTGAGGGCTTGGAGATCATCAGGGTCTAACTTCAAATATTGGTTCCATCATTTACGCACTATGTGGCTTTGTTGGAAAATTGTTTAATTTCTCTGAATCTTGATTTCTTTATCAGAGAACAATAGTATGTATCTCATATGGCTGGACTGAGGATTAGCTGAGCTTATGTAACAAAAAGCATAGGTGTAGAATAAATGTGAGTTCCTTTTCTCTGATGCAACTGGCCGGATAGAAATCTGCATTCTCAAGCTTCACACATGTCAAAAATAACTTCGTTACAACGGGGGTAGGTATGATAGAAATAGACAGGTTGTGAGAATTGGCACAGAAATTTTCTTACTATCCCAACTGTTGTTATTAGAAGTCTGTGATGCTTGTATCAGTCGACCATAAGCTTAATTGGAAGTCTAAAAGAGAAATAATAAAAATTGTACTTTGATGTGACTTATTTTCTTTTTAAAACCTGTCTGCCTTGTTTATGAGAGAGGGATTTTTTTCGAATTCACAGAATCTCTCCTCAACAATTGCTGGAATATTGCTAAATGAAATAAAAGTGTTGTTAGCAGATCTGATCAGTGGTAAAGCAAATCTATTTCTACACTAGTAGAAAAGTGGGAGGTAATGCAACTTTCCTGCGTCAGATTGCAAATAGGATTGTGGGTGTCTGCTATGACTTGAAATGTGACATGCTTTGTGTGTGTTGTAAGGTTTGAGAACTACATGAGGTTTTCATGTTTACAAGCCTGGGTGTTTTGAACAATATAATGGTTCTGCAGTATATAGATGCATCTCTGAATGATTTTGCAGTGTTTTTGGTATAATGTCCAAGCAAGGAGATTTACTAATGACTTCCAAGCATATAGTCATGGTCTTCTGAGCAAGGGTTTCCATGCACAAGAATAACTCTTACGTATCTTCAACGGAGAAAGAAAACATGTTTTAATGTTACATATGTCCTCTTGACATTAGGGAATTCATGTATCTTCAAACATTCCACAATGGTAAATTAGTTTGCCCATTACTTTTCAGTATTATTGCTATGAAACTATTCTCAAAAATATTTGGAACCATGTGTTTAAATATTCAGAATGTTTTCTCATGTGCTGTCAACATGGGTTAACTCTCCTTATTTCAGGAGTGCTGGAGAGCAGAATCACTAAGAACATGAACTTCTAAGTTGGCTGGTGCTGGGTTTTAGTGTTTTTACTTACTACTTACATAAATGTGGGCAAGCTACATACTTCTCTAAAACTGAATTTCCTTATCTGTAAAATGGGAAACATAATACCTCCTTAGGGCATTTTGAGAAGATTCAATTTGATAGTGCATGTAGAGCATTTATCATAGGTTTGGCACTTAGTAAGAGTCCAATACATTTTCATTAGAAAGAGTTTATTCGAACCTGAAAATAAACCACTGATTTATTCTTATTTTATTTCTCCTCCTGTAATATTCACAGTGATAATTTCTTGTGGAGGGGAAAAATAGTTTCCAGAAAGCAGAGTCTAAGACAACAGCTAGCACACCTGCCGTTTATTTTGGAAAGTGATCATAGGGAATAGGAGTAGGGAGCTTAAAAGAGTGAAATGGGGAAGAGGAAAATAGAAGGGTATGCAGCTATGGGCTTCTGCGGCCCACAGAGTCTTCCATGGACCATGTAGAATATCTGAGGGAAAGATCAGTTACCTGCTACAGTCTTTCATTAATTGTGTTTTAGCGGGTTAGTAACACCTTCACATCGGTTTGCAGCATGTAAGCGATTTGTCTCTTGGTTCTACCAAGTAGCCAAAATTAGTATCAGAGAATCCCCAGAACAGAAAGTGAAAGTGAGCAGAGCTGAGAGGCCAGATTGTATCCATACAGTGTTGGTGGCCGCAGGATGTGAAGGTGGTCAGAGAACTTGAGGAGGGACACAAGTGGTATTTCATATATAACTCCTCATAGAAGCTATGTGCTGTCAGTGATTCTAGAGACTTGAAAGCAATTCAGTCCAAGGTACTTCTGTCTCCAAGCCCAACATTTGAAGGACAATGGCTTAAGTAATTCTCTAATATGGTAAAGCCCAATGTCTAAGTCACCTCATTGTAATAGATCTACAACAGACATCTGTAAGATCCCCAATAGTGATTTTTATGCTAAACACCCAATTAAAAAAAGGCACATTTTCAGAGTGAAGTGAGATCCATCTTTTGAAGAGTGATTCCTTCCTTTAGTTCTGTCAGGAAACTCAAAGAGATGAGAATAGCCTGCTTAGTCTCTGAGTATTTGGAGATCTTAATGAAGGCAATGAAAGTGAACAAACACTTTTCTCTTTCAAAAGAGTTTCAAGAGATTGTTTATCTCTGTGGATGATTTAATACTGCTTACCTATTTAATTAAAGAATTCAATATATTGATTTTTTTCTTTAACATTAAGGGAATAATAACACTTGGAAAGCATGCTATTGGAGTCCTAGGAAAATCTAGCAATGCATAAATATGTATGAAATAGTGGGATTATGACCAAGGGTACATGTATACAGGGGAAAATCCAATCACATGATTCCTTTAATAGTTGGTGACTATGTGTTGGTGAGCATTTCCTTTACTGAAAATGACCCTGTCATTAAAACTCAAAGAATCGCAGGGATTAACATTTTCTACCTTCCTACTAAGCAATATGCTTTCACTTGAGGTCTCTTTAGTGTTTAAGGGGAAAACGGGTTCCAGAAAAATGTCTTTCACATTAGAAACTGTATTAAATTAATTGAAAAATAGATAAACATTGATAATAATAATAAAACAAGAGAAATGATGACAGTAAAAGGCAAATACTTTTTAAATGATACTCAAATAGACATTCAATAAAACCACACCTTTCAGACAACATAATCATTTGCATCATAAAAAACTCTAGTGGTTCAAATTTAAAATATTGGTTAAAAAGCTTCAGTTGGATTTCAAATTAGCCTAAAAAGAAATTTCCATCTTAATAAAATAGGCAAAACTTTCCTTTTAAAATTACAACTTATTTTGTTAAAAAATGTGTTCACTATTCTTGAAAAAGACCTAAAATGGATCTTTCAGAAGAGAAAGCCTCTCCTATTTTAAATTGAACCCAGTGGAGCATGGAAGACACGATTCCAAAGCATCCAGGGAAAAAGTTGAATACCAAATCCATGATTCACATGTACTCAAATACCCAGAATTTGGGGTTGATCCTTCAACAAAACAGGAGGGTGACTGAGTGATTCCTTGATATTTTAAAGTTTCCTCCTGATGCCATAAGTTATGATAATTCAGTCTGTCCTAAGGACTTTTTTAAAACCACAAAAATGCAGTATCCTGCCTAGATTTATCTGAACTTCTAAGCTTATTACAGACTTTTAGATATCTTCTGGAAGATCCCTTAAGTGAAGTGAGAAGATATTCTGACTTTAGTCACCAAAGTTAAATGTTCTCATCACTTAAATTGACTTCATACAGTCAGGTTTATTTTATGCTCTCAGTTACTTACTACTGCAAGTCAACACAGCACAGGAATTGATGCATTTTGTGCCTTCAATTCAAAGTAAATAGCAAACACTGCTGTCTGTGAACTTTTTGGCCAATGAATAAAAAATATTTCATTTCTAATTCTCACCAGAAGAATTGAAATTAAACAGTAACAGATGAATTGGGCAGGCATGGAATACTAAATAGAAACTGGCAAATGAAATAATCCAGCTATTTGCTTTTACGATGAAAATGAGAATTGATTCTGCACTGAGAGAAAGAAGTAAAAGGACCAAGAGTTTTGAAAAAAGCCTTCTCCACCAAAAGAGCAAAATAGCACTCAGTGGCATTGCATTGTTAACAAAATTTCTTTATCAGAAACTATAATTTAATATTTAAGTATCTAATTTACATGTGACAAGGTATCATATTCAAAAAATTAAATGCAACTGGAAAACTATTAACCACTAAAAACAATACCAAACACAACCCAAACATTTATAGGAAAGCAATAGCTAGAATTTGAATTGGAAAAAATGTTTCATCATATTTGGCTCATTAAACAAAGCATCCATTATAGCTTGGAAAAGAGCATCTCTTCTAATTCATCAAACGTTTACTCTTTATAGCATGAATAACATTTAAAGATAGTTTCATTAACTGTATATGCACACTTGTGTATATATATTGTGAGACATACACTCGTGTGTTCATTTAAAGATATTGTATCTACTGATAACTGGCTGAACTTTGGAAGGTGCTGAAATCCACATTTCTATATGTCCTTTGACCCATTTAATAATGTCTTTTTAAAAACAGAAATTACATAAAATACTCTGTTTTTTATTAACTGAATATTTTCTTAAGCATAATAATAGACAATGAAAGAATTGCACTTATTATAAAGGTACAGTAAAGTGTTAGATTGCAGCTCAGCCATGAAAGATCAGGGACTGTAGGACAGATGATAGATTGTGCATTATATGCAAAGATGATGGTGGCCAGTGAAATTAAAATGAGAGCAACTAGTTACAGAACAAACAGGGGGATAACAGAAGAAAACATGCACTACTCCTACTTTAATGCAAAACTAATTTCTCCCAGGAAACCAACCCTTTGACCTCTCTCATACAAAGAAACGGGTTCTGCACCCCTAGCAACACAGTAGACTTGGACTTGTGTATTCAAATGCTAGTTCACTGTCTCTGAGCGTGCTGCTCCAGTGACATCTCCGTAAGCTGCCCTTGACATTCTGGAGCAACTACAATATTACAGTCTCTTTGTCAGGTTTCATTGAGCCTCAATATTCCCTTCAGTTCTGTATAAATACAGTCCATTATTCATCTTCTTCTGGTTCCTGTGGTAGCACAGATATTTCTTCCTTCAAACAATCACTGAAGAATTTGAGGATTGTGCTGTAGAGATGATACTTGCTCTTCTCAGATACGTTATGACCTTCATCTGGGTAGACCTAAGATATTGAGGAGAAAGAAGATTTCAAATTATCCAAGAAGCTATTGTCTCTCGCATTCATTTTCTGAGCCCTAACGTCATGGAAACTTTGAGTAATAATATCTGACCAAAATCAAACCTAATTCTACTCTAAGTTATTCATGCTAAACTTTTAAAACAATTGTAATCATGTCAATTAATATTTGGTATTTAAATTAGAATATGTTGGCCATAAAAGGTAGACTTTTTCATGTTTATGTTGACTGAGATGGACTAACCTTGCCCTCAGCTTGACTAAACTTTGGACAGTTTCTTTTTGACTAAAGGCCCTTGGCCTCTCCTCCCCTTTTTAGGAGTATTTAGTTTAGAAAACTTTCCAGCTCTTTATTTAAAGAGCATTGAGTTCAGTCTTTGTCTCCTTTGCAGTAGTTTTTCATAAGGTCTTCCTTGCCTCTTTAACATTGTCTGGTGCAATTATTTACTTTGACAATTCCCTTTCCAATGTAAACAAAATTGTTACTGTTTCTAAAATACAAATAAAAAATACAAATATTATCCCATTAATTCCTGAGTACAAAGGTTTAAATGGCGCCTCATTGCCCTTTGAATAAAACTCCATACTCCTCAACATTGCTTATGGAATGACCTGACATTTGTTTATCTGTATAGCTTCATATTTCATTATCCTAAACGTGGTAGTTTGTGTTTTAGACAGGTTGAGCAACTTTTGGTTCTTCTGAATGCTGAGAAATTTAAATGACTTTACTTTTTCCTTCTATGACTCTTATATCAGACTGGAACCTCCTTGACAGTGTAATGTATGTCTTGTTACTCATAGAGCAGAGTGACCACTGTAATGTCCTTGATAAATATATATTAAATGTATGAATGCACAGACATAAATGGTAGTGCAAATGGCCTTTTATCCTCTCTTCTTTTCTTGTAATATTTCCCCAAACATTTTTTATCCACTATTTATTATGAGAATTATAAATTATCATATTTAAAAATAAATTAATAATAAACTCTCATATTTAATAATAAAGACAAAGGAACAAGACAAAAGGAACAAGAAAAGGAAGAAAGGAACAACAAAAGGAAGAAAAGATAAAAGGAACAAGAAGGGAAGTAGAAACTTGTTACTTTTAAAAGAATTCAATATTTGGGATATGAATAAGTCTGAGAGGAAAATGACAATTTAGAAAGGATTCATGCAATTCACTTGTAAAGCATGAGTTCATCCACATTCTCGGTGTAATCAGGAACAGAGAACACAATCTTTGGTAACTAAAAAACATATTAAAAAATAATAGTAGGGAGAATGGAATAATAGAGAAGCTGTGTTGCGTATCTCACAAGTGAAAAAACACAGCAGGAAAACACGTTCTTCTAAGAAAGTAGCTTACCTGCATAGTATAATTCACTCCAGCTTTTATTAGGTGCTTGATTAATTCTGCTGAGTGTTGGAAATGAACTTTTGCTGCAAGAAATCAAATTATGATATCTGAAGAAACACACTGCTTGTATGAGAACTTTTTCATATTATTTTTCAAAGAGATTCAGTGTTTTATTTTACATACATTGCACATTTAAAAGACTTATATCTGGCTGGGCACGGTGGCTCACGCCTGTAATCTCAGCACTTTGGGAGGCCGAGGTGGGCCGATCACAAGGTCAGGAGATCGAGACCATCCTGGCTAACTCGGTGAAATCCCATCTCCATTAAAAAATATAAAAAATTAGCCGGTGTGGTGGCGGGCACCTGTAGTCCCAGCTACTCGAGAGGCTGAGGCAGGAGAATGGCGTGAACCCGGGAGTGGGGAGCTTGCAGTGAGCAGAGATCGTGCCACTACAGTCCAGCCTGGGCGACAGAGCAAGACTCCGTCTCAAAAAAAAAAAAAAAAAAAAAACCAAAAAACCTTATATCTGGCTTTAGGTAGAAAGCTGGTAAATACAAATACAATGGTAAAACTTTGAGCTTCACTCTATTAAACAAAAAAGCAAAACAGTAGCTACAACTAAGTCCTACTTACTCTACAGAATGGTGTTTATATTTACTTTACTGGATAGTATTTATTATTCCTAATGGTACACATATTTTTATAAATTTTATAAAATTTATAAAAAATTTTAATATGGCAAATGTCTTTTCTGGATATTAATACAGGAAACCAGCTATCTATTTCATTTTGAAGATTACTAGGGCACAGTCTCAGTTGGATACTGGCATTCTGCTTTATTATTCAAAATTAGAAAAGAATACCCCATACTGAGAAAATAGAATACACATCTCATTATACAAGGACTAACTATTTAATATAGAGCATACTGGTTACTCTTGCTTTATCTTCCTTCTGCCAGAACCTAAGATCCAAGATTCTGAAGTAAGCAGCCCAATAGCCATGGGTTTGGTAGCTATGAAGATTTGGTGCAGTCACTCAAATCTCTTTCTGCAGAAGTTGGCTCACATTCTGTCTAGGGTGTTCATTCCTGTAGTTTGTGTATCTTCAGATTTCTGTAACTCATGTTTAAGCTGCCTTTTTTTTTTTTTTTTTTGAGATGGAGTCTTGCTCTGTTGCCCAGGCTGGAGTGCAGTGGTACGATCTCGGCTCACTGCAACCTCTGCCTCCCAGGTTCAAACAGTTCTCCTGCCTCAGCCTCCTGAGTAGCTGGGATTATAGGCGTGCACCACCATGCCCAGCTAATTTTTGTATTTCTAGTAGAGACGGGGTTTCACCATGTTGGTCAGGCTGGTCTCAAACTCCTGACCTCGTGAGCTGCCTGCCTCGGTCTCCCAAAGTGCTGGGACTACAGGTGTGAGCCACCGCGCCCAGCCTAAGCTAACATTTTTAATTGTCGTTGCAAAATTAGGGCAGCCTTATCAATAGTTTAAGCCTCTTTAATGCTCTAACTCTAGAATGCTGAATAATCAGACCACACAGCAGAGAATGTAAAATGGCAAACAATCATTTAAACCTATTAAAAAACTAGATAGTCAAGATCTTTTTCAACATCTTCCTATGGCACTTAATGGGAAAATGACCTTGTCATTGCTACATAAGTACAAACTGCTCTATAAATGTAAGCTTCTAGAAATGCTAATTAATAAGGTCAATGACAGAGGTAATGTGATCCCTTATTTGTCTGCATGGAGACAGCTGAAAATAAATGTGCAAAAGGATTTTTCCAATTGGATTTTTTTTCTGCTTAGTTTCTAATGCAAAGTCCATTGATATTTGTTGCTATTTGTCTGTTTACTATAGCTAAAAGGGAACATTACAGGTTTGACTGGGTGATTGAATTCATTTGCTGGTAATTTTTGAAGATAATATTAATAGTAGTGGTGTTACAGTGTCATGACTGAGCACCTATAATTCACCAGGCCCGTATGGGTTGTGTGGTATGTGTATGTGTGTGCCTGTGTGTGTGTGCCTATGTGTGTGTGTGCTCACACACATTCACAGGTGCATTTCCTCTCCAGGGACCAGGGCTGAACCTCTGCTTGTATTTTATTAGATGGGTGAAGCGCCAGGCCTGTGACTGAGTGAGTCAGATAGAACAATGATTTACCTTTATAGCTACAACATATTGACAGAGAAATTTGAAATAGCACTAATATATTAGTCCAGCATGATGGGTAGACATACAATAATTTAACCTTGAATATAATTTATTCATATGAATAAGGCTTCAGGGCACAGTGAATAAAAGGCTCAATACATGGATTCAAATCTCCTTCCTACTAATCAATTGTGTCTACTCTTTTAAGGAAGTTATATCATTTCCTAATATTTATTTTCCCAATCTGTTAAATGAAAGTAATAACATCTACTATTCCGTGTTTGCAAGAAGTACAAATAAGATAATATTAAATGCTTTTAGCACATTTTCTGACATACAATGAGTACATAATTGCTATTTATTTTTATTACTGTTGATATATATGTAAGGTCTTAATACCTTAGAACAACATCCAAATGTCCCTCAAAATTTTTACGCTCTCTTTCATCATGTTTCACCCAACACTGGTACTGTATCATCTACCTCTTTCTTTAATAGACTATTAATACTATAATTGCTTTACATTTTCAGAACAGTTGCAGAGATAGTACAGAGTTCCTGGATACCCGTCCTCCAGTTTCCCCATTGTTAACATCTTATATTATTATATACTTTGTCACAAATAGAAACTAAGACTCATATACTACCACTAACTAAACCCACTTTATTTGGGGTGCACTAGTTTTTCTTGTTGGTGTTCTTATTGTTGTTTTCCTGTGTACCCTTTCTGTTCCAGGGTTCCATTCAGAATCCCACATTATATTTAGACATCATGTCTTTTAAACTTCCTCTGGTCTATGAGAGTTTCTTAGACTTTTTTTTTTTTTGATTACCCCAACAGTTCTGAGGGGTGCTGGCTGGATATCTGATAGAATTTTCCTCATTTGGATCTGCCTGATGGTTTTCTCATGGTTAGACTGGTGTTATGTATGGGCTTGGAGTACTAAACCATGGAGGTAAAGTGCCATCCCCACTACATCATATCAAGGGCATTTAATAACAGTAATAACATGACTTGTCACTGTTGATGTGATGTTTGTCAAATTTCTCCACTGTAAAGTTCCTCTTTCTCTCTTTTTCCATATAGTACCCTTGAAGCAAATCATTCAGTGGAACCCACCCTAAAGAGGAAGAAGTTAAGTTCAAGATTTAGGAAATATTGATTCAAGACTTTGACTTTCTTGTCTCACTTGCCAGATGGCCTTGGATAAATCTGTTTCCTTTTTGAAATTGATTTTTCTCATCCATGAATGAAGCTATAAATATTCAGCTGTCTGTTGTAAAATATCACAGAGGATAATAAAATATAGATTCTTTGGTCCCTAAGAGTGTCATGTAAATATAAAATGATATTATTTATTACTACTAACATCAATCACATCCACCTCCAAGGTTTAAAGTGATGAAAAAATGAGAGATGATATGAAAGTGCCTTTTTAAAGTTTTTAAGTTCATTTAAGCGGGTAACCTCATTAGAATTTCATGTCAGTGCTTGCAGCTTTTTGGTTTCTGTTTTCCAGGTTGGTTTCCATTTTAGGTGTGCTGAATAACACTGTAACCATAGTCACTAGACACAAGTGCCTTTTTAAATTAAAATTAAATAAAATCAATTCAGTTCCTCAGTCACACTAAACAAGGTATGGCCACAAGTGGCCAGTGGCTACTTTTTCAGCAACATTGATAAAGTATTTCCATCATTACAGGGAGTTTGATTGGACAACGCTGCCATTTGAGGAATAGCCTCCTCTCCTCTTATCTCTGAATTCTTTTTTCCCACCTTCTATCATGTATCTGATTCTTTGTGTGACTCTCTGCTCCCTTCTTCAGAAGGTTTACAGGGCTTCCTGTAAGCAAGTCCTTAGATGTATCCCTTTGTAAAAGGTCATACCCTATCAAACAGCAGCGGCAAGTATAATACTTACTGTCAGCAGTTCCATGAATTATTAATATATTTTCTTCTTTCAAGCCATGAACATTATGTAGCACACTGGCTGCCTATAAAGGAAAATACAAATATCTGTATCTATAGATCTAAATAAGCCATTTAACTAATTTTTTAGAACAAAAATACTCCTCTTTCTTTGTTATTTTCAAATTAGTTACCTGGTAAGTGCTTTCTTCCTTAGATGGCATCCCAAGGTATCTTTCAGAGAAAGCTGAGGCTGTGACCCAAGAAAACAGACATTCGAGAAGAAACTAAAAACTATTTGACTGGCATATTTCATTAATTTCTTCATTTTACATTTAATTGTCATGCTTTAGTAAAATCAGCTGAATCAAGGAGGAGATAAACAGCTGAAAACAGGCTCTAATAACATATGATAAATGAGCTCAATTGAGCTATTCTAAATTGGGCTTTCGTTTTCTACAAATCAATACATTATACTAGGTCAGTCTGTAGAAAGTACTCACCATACAATTTCAAGTCTGTGATAGGTGCAACCACGGATCCACATTTAAAAAGCTTTTCATCTGATTTTAAGATCATTGATGCAATATAGCCACCATAACCCTGGGGGGGAAAAATATATATATATATATATATATATCTCACACACACACACACACATACACACACACAAATTTATATATAACAACTATGCCTGGAGACATTTTTAGCTTTTGATCAATGTTTGGTACTGTACATCATATCAGAATGTCTCAGGCTTGGGGGAAAAAAGCCAAAATCATTTTGTACAATTAAGATTTTTGAACATTTGTTTAAATTGTTATATAACAGCTGTTTTAATAAGCCTTAAGTAAAATATAAAATTAATTACATCACCAAATGTCAAATATTGCTCCATGATTTCATACTATACATCTGGAAATTGCCCCAAATAATTTGAGGTTAGGGAAATAAAGCACTTATTAAATCACATGTAATTTTCCACTAATTTAATAAAATACTGAAATAATGATGATTATGTAGAATTAAGAAATAATGAAATTTTGAAAATATCTCACCAAAAATTTAGATTGTTTTAATTTCTTATAGAGTTCAGAACATGTCACCCCAAAATAAGGCTGCACTCAGACTATTTCACCCTAAATATGCCTCTCTGGCTTAGGATTATTTGGAGCTAGATATTTTGAGAAACTGCAGACACAGGAAGAATACTAGAAACAAGGCTGGAAGTTTCCCTTGTGTAAGATAAATTTATGTCTATAAAGGAAATGTATAGATGTTTTCAAGGGTCTCTCTCTCTCTCTTTCTCTCCCTCTCTTTCCGCACCAGGAAGAGAAGAATAACTACATAACCGAAGACTCAATCAATGGAGAAGAAATCGACTTCACTATGCGTGACAAACTTTGCTTGTGTTTTGCTTTTCCTGGTCATCTTTCTTAACAAAACCTTTCCTACATCCTTATGCCTTTGTTTCAGAGAATGGTAGTGTTTGCATCTGAGGTATAAGACAATTCTTTGAGATCTACTCTAGAGATCTGCCCATTTTTCTTGTTTCTATCCCATGTACAAAGGAGGTATTTATGTTATTAAGCTTCTGTTTGTTTTTCTCTTGCTTTTTTTTTTTTAGACAGAGTCTTGCTCTGTGGTCCAGGCTGGAGTGCAGTGGTGCGATCTCGGCTCACTTCAAGCTCCGCCCCCTGGGTTCACTGCAAACTCCGCCCCCTGGGCTCACTGCAAGCTCCGCCCCCCGGGTTCACGCCATTCTCCTGCCTCAGCCTCCCGAGCAGCTGGGACCACAGGCGCCCGCCACCAGCCCGGCTAATTTTTTTTGTATTTTTAGTAGAGACGGGTTTCACCGTGTTAGCCAGGATGGTCTCGATCTCCTGACCTCGTGATCTACCCGCCTCGGCCTCCCAAAGTGCTGGGATTACAGGCGTGAGCCACCGCGCCCGGCTTGTTTTTCTCCTGTTAATCTGCCTTTTGTTGCAGGGAATCTTAGCTAAAAACTCATGAAGAGTAAAGGAGAAAATTGTCTTCTCTATATTCCACACAACTAAGTTTTGGAAAGCAATGGGATATAATGAATAATGTTCCCAGATAGATGAGTTAAATTATTGTTTAAGTTTAATTTTGAATACCCTCTTGAAATGTTTTTTAATAAGCCAAGATGTCCAGTTTTCTTTTGTAGACCAAGATCTGACTAGAAAAGTTCCAGAGGAGATTTTAATAATTACAGTAATGCTGAAAAAAAAAAATGACCTACTGAGCTATCTGTTTTAGAAATTAATTTTCAGCCCTACTCTCAGTAATGTTCTTTATGCTACTGGAAATCAGAACATCTTGGGAGGTATTAAAAAATATTAACATTCAGGCCTCAATCTCAGAAATTCTGATGCAGTTTGTTCATGATGAAGTCTACTTTTGAAAGATTTTCAGATGACTCAAGTGTGGTCCAGGTTATAGTTTTATTGTCATTGTCACTAAACTCTTGAAGTAAGAAATAAAGAATTTCATTTATGTGTATTTGGAGCATCATTTAAAAATTGGTACATAAAAGTTCAAAATGCAGTCATTCATTACTGAATGGACTGAGATAGCATATATTGTTCTGGTACTGGAATATTTAGATAGTACTCAGAAGCTTGAGCAAAGCTTTAACGATTAGTAACTGAAGGAAAGAAAATTATCCTATATAGATATAAGCTACTTCAAAGTGCCTTTGCTCATTCTCATTGAGAGAGACAGTCTTAGGCCAGCAAAATCTGGAAGTAGCCCATTTTAAATTTTCCCTTAGGTAGGTAAATGTATTAACCTACCTAAGAAAGAAAAATAAGAAGGTGGGGTAAGCTATGCAAAGCAAGAAAGTAAATAGCTAAAGGCTGAATATCCCTTATCTGAAATGCTTGGGGTCAGAAGTTTCCGATTTTTGGATTCTTTTAAAATTTAGGGATATTTACCTACACATAATGTGTTATCTCAGGGATGAAAACTTAAGTCTAAACATGAAATTCATATATGCTTTAATATACCTTATACACACAGCCTGACAGTAATTGTATAGAATATTTTTAGTAATTTTGTTCATGAAACAGTTTTAATGGCATTTTTGACTGTGACCCATCACATAGGGTCAGGTGTAGAATTTTCCATGCGTGGCATTATGATGTCGGTGCTCAAAACATTTTGGATTTGGAGCATTTCAAATTTCGGATTTTCAGATTAGGTACGTTGAACCTGTATCATAAAGCAAAAGTGGAAACAGCTCTTGAAAGTGTTGTCCCTAGAGGGAGCATTTCCAGTATATTGTTCCTAGTTCTCTGTCATAAAGATGGGCGAAGGGTGTTGCAGCCAAGAGATTTCAAGTATTTCCCGTAGGCAAGACTCTTCCCATAGTGAGGAATGCATCACACATCTTAGCTGATGCATGCAACTTTTCTGGTTCTATTAACAATACCATGATGGCCAAGCAAACTTTCAGCTGATTATGATGTTTGTTTATATAACCTGAAAACATTGATAGAATAATGAATATTCCAGTCCATAAAAGCTTATGTTACATTTAAATAATATATATAAGATGACATTATATGTTTTTGTTGGTTTGTTTTATTTTATTTATCTCAGTTTCACATGTCTCTCATAGCCTGATTATCTCTAGGAATCAGGAATAGTGCCTTCCAAAGGAGGGGTAGATCCCACAACAATGCTTCTTAACTTCTAACTTAATTCAAATCACTTGAGAGTGTTGTCAGCATACAGATTCAAATTCAGTAGACCTGGGGTGGGACCTAAGATTGTGCATTTTTAATAAACTCTCAGGGGACCTCTATGCTGCTGATCTACATTATATACAACAAGTTATTACTGCATAATTGTATAATAAAGGTGCCTACCGGAAACATCTTCTTAGTCCCAGCCGATGTTCCCTAGATGAGTGAAGCTTTAAAAAAAAAAAGTGCCAGTGCTCTCCCCGACCCACATTCAATCACAATCTGTGGAGAATGGGCACCTGATGGATCTCCCCATGTGATTCTTCAGTAAAACCAGGAATGTAAATTATTGCTGCTATACAAGGAGTTATATTTTACTATTTTTGTAAATATGAAAATTTGGCATTTAATGAAGCCAAATATTTTCTAAGTCTTTATGATAATAAAAGCTGTTGAATAAAATTCTATTTATAGCATTTAAAATTGAACCACAAATGCTTCTTTAATTGATTTTTAAACAAAAATCGACACTGGCAAAAATTAGAATAATTTTATTTATTTTAGACATGGTCTCACTCTGTCACCCAGGCTGAAGTACATGGCACAATCTCTGCTCATCGCAACCGCTGCCTCCCAGGCTTAAGCAGACCTCCCACTTCCGCCTCCTGAGTAGCTGGGACCACAGGTGCGTGCCACCGTGCCCAGCTAATTTTTGTATTTATTTGTACAGATAGGTTTTGCCATGGCTGCCCAGGCTGGTCTTGAACTCCTAGGCTCAAGTGATCCACTCGCCTTGGCCTCCCAAAGAACTGGGATTACAGGTGTGCCCCACCAGCCCCAGATGAAAATAAGTTAAATTTTAATGGCTCGCCTTCCTCTCACCTGTTTTATATGTATTTACAGAATGCAATAGTATATCACAAAAGAGTTTTTGGAAAATTTACTTCAGAGGAGGGCAAAAATAAGATATAAGTTCTAGGTAGATATAAGAACGCTTTCAACTTTCAAAACAATGCATATCATCAGGTAGATTAAAAAATGGGAATCACCATATCGTCTGTAGTAAATTAGAGGCTACTTTTGATTTAATAAAGATCAAAAACTTCCATCATCAGTGTAGGCTGCTCTGTTTTCATTGTGCATTTTATTGGTCTTCCCGTGATCGGATTTTGCTATTCATTAAAATTGTTTTGTCATTCCCATTTGCCAAGCATTTTAGCATTACTTACAAAAGTTTAACAAGTTTATGTTATTTTTAAATTTAATTTAGTAAGCCTAAAATATAGGAATGTTTCCTTAGAATTTTCCTTCTTAAAAGAAATATACTCATGAT
Organism: Homo sapiens; assembly: GCF_000001405.40. Taxonomy (NCBI): domain Eukaryota; kingdom Metazoa; phylum Chordata; class Mammalia; order Primates; family Hominidae; genus Homo; species Homo sapiens. The sequence goes on along the minus strand of NC_000002.12, from coordinate 115,831,716 downwards.
GTAGGAAACTAAATTCAATAGATAGAAGGACTTGGAGAAGCAGAGGTGGGATCTGCAATGCCATTTACTCAAAATTTATGTTTGCTGTGGCCCCAGGTTTTCAGATCATCTTTAAATGACTTTATGAATATAGTAAAAGGGATACACTGACAGACTGGGATTTTACAAGAGGTTATTTGGGCCGGACATGGTGGCTCAAGCCTGTAATCCCAGCACTTTGGGAGGCCGAGGCCAGCGGATCACAAGGTAAGGAGTTGGAGACCAGCCTGACCAGCATGGTGAAACCCTATCTCTACTAAAAATACAAAAATTAGTCAGGTGTGGTGGCTAATCCCAGCTACTCAGGAGGCTGAGGCAGGAGAATTGCTTGAACCCAGGAGGCAGAGGTTGCAGTGAGCTGAAATCGCGCCACTGCACTCCAGCCTGGGCGACTGAGTAAGACTCCGTCTCAAAATAAAGAAAGAAAGAAAGAAAGAAAGAAGTGATCTGTGCGAATTTAAACTTGTGTAATTCTTTCTGAACCATTTCACTTGTGGTACACAATGAATTAATTGGAAATAAAGAATTTTATAAATACAAGATAAATTTTATTACACTCTATTATTTTGCATTAAAACTATTAATTCGCTTAACATAATCACTCACATTTTATCACAATACCTATAATCCTGCCTTGAAGCAGAATCTTAATCCTGCCTCAAGGAGGCAGGATCTTAATTCTGCAGATAATGTATACTGAAGCTTTAAACCTTAGAAGTGACTCAAGCTGGACTCAAACACTGAGAGGCCCTCCCTCAATTGAAAAGATACAAAACTTTACATAACAAATAATTACCTCCCTAAGTAAAGTTTTAAGAAGCTTTCATATTCATTTACATTTTTAAGTTTGTTTTATTTTCCCCAGATATCCATAGTTCTTATCTCCTTACATTGCCTTCTCTTAGTTCAAACATGATCTCCTAGTGATACCTTTCCTTACCTCCAATCTAAATTGGCCACATTCACTCTAATCCTGGCATCCTTATTTATTTCTCTTCTTTACTTTTTGGAATCAAACTCTCACCATCTGACATTTTATGTATTTCACCAATTATGTTTAGTTTACATGTTTTCCATATAGCTCTCCTTACTGAACTAAATTCAGTAAAGAAAGACTTTTCTTCTACTCTTTGACCACTGTATTTCCAACACTTCAAAAAAAGTGCTGGGCACATAGTGTACATTCAATAATGTTTGTTGGATGAATTAATCTTTTTTTGGCCTGGTAATCACAGTGATATCTGTTCTAAAAAAAAATGTTTATAAGACAACTAAACTTAATTTCAGTTCTTGTGATAATTTTTTTTTTTTTTTTTTTTGAGACAGAATTTTTCTCTTGTTGCCCAGGCTGGAGTGCAGTGGTGGGAATTGGGCTCACTGCAAACTCCACCTACTGGGTTCAAGCGATTCTCCTGCTTCAGCCTCCTGAGTAGCTGGGATTACAGACACTCGCCACCACACCCAGCCAATTTTTGTACTTTTTTAGCAGAGACGGGGTTTCACCATGTTGGCCAGGCTGTTCTCGAACTCCTGACCTCAGGTGATCCACCCACCTTGGCCTCCCAAAGTGCTGGGATTACACGCATGAGCCACTGCTCCCGGCTGTGATTAATGTTTTTAAAGAAGCTATGTCCATAAAATTTTGCTTCTAGGAGTTTTGTTTTATATTTAGCACTTACACATAATTCTTAAAAAAAATTAAAATTATTATATATTAAATGAGGTTAGGTCCTGAGGATAATTATTCAAACTAAAGTTGCTTAATGTCTTCAATCAAGTCATATCCATAATTAATAAGTAATAAACAGTGGCCAGCTAAAAGCTACATATGCTATTATCATAACCTTTCCATTATCCCAACAAGCTAGTTAGAAAATAACACTGAGAAAATGACACAATTTACAATAAAAATTAAAACACACAAATAATAAGCAATAGTTAGAAATAAAAGCAGCAGGAGAGAGATTTGGCATATTTTAAGAAAGCTATAAAATTCTACTAGGATATATAAAAAAAGAAATAAAAGAAATGTACTGTGCATATTGTCTGACTCAGATGAAAGCTACATCTTGTGACTATTTTAATTCTTCTTAAATTATTATAACTGTTGAAACAAATTTTAATTAAAAAATTCCAGTTGCATATTTTGGGAGAATTTGAAAAAAACAAAGATAATAGAACAGGTGAGCCAAGAATATTTTCAAAGAGAGAAGTAAAGAGTGAAAATTCTTTTAAAAATATTAAAATGAGTTATAATGAAGCATGTTATAATTAAAAGACTGTAAGATTAGCATAAGAACAGAAAGACAGAATTCAACAGAAATAAACCCTGAAATGAATGAGAACTTAATTCTTAGTTGGTATCACTGTTAATGATGTTGATTTAGTCAACCAACGGAGCTAGGAAACTGGCTAGCTATTTGAAACTATATAAGTAAATTCTCACCATACCTCACAAGTGCTATGCATCTCTCTCATCTCTATTAAACTCAGATAAATAAAGAGAAAACATAATAAATACTCATTTAGCCTTTTGATAGAAACAGGACATCTAAATAATAAAATCACTGGAAGAAATTACCCAAGAAAGCATTTGAGAAGAGTTTGCCAAGTTTTAGAACTTCAGTTTTTTGCCTCATCATATGCAAATTTTAACAAAATTCAAGCAGCTGAGGAAATATTTCAAACAAGTGTGAACAGAGACTGCTATCTTTAATATAGCAAAATTTTAGTATGTCAACAAGGAAACAAATATATATGTTCATATATACCAGAAGTCAAAATAAACTAAGCATATATAATGGATAAATGGACAATCCAAAAAGAGACATATAAAATGGTTAATAAATATACAATTTATTTTATTTAAAAGTTTACAATTCCAACGTGATGAAGCAGCAGAAATGAGATTTATCCTCCCACATGAAATGACTAAAAATATAGACAAAATATATAAAATAGAAGTTTTTAGGACATTGGACATTGACTGATGAAGGACATTGATCCCTGAATGATGAAAAATAAACACGTCAGTCCTAGCATTGTTACAGCTTGCTACCTTGAAGAATGAAGTTGAGGCATAGCAGAACTATCTGAAATGGAACATACAAAGAAATGCATGCTTTTAAAAAAAAAATTGAACAGCATATTAGTGAGTTTGGGGACAACTTCAAGTAGCCCAATCTACCCATATTTATAATCCCTGAGAAAGTGGACAACAAAAAATATTTGAAATAATAATAAAAAATTTCCAAATTTGTTAAAAACACTTAACCTAGATAGTCAAGAAATTCAATAAACTGAAGCGTAAGACATATGAAGAAAACTATACCAAGGCATATCACAATGAAATTCATTAAAATTAATCATAAAGAGAAATTATTAAAAGCATCTACAGAGAAAAGATGCGTTGTATACAGAGGAAAAAAGTTAAGAATGATGGCATATTCTTATTGAAAAAAATGCAAACCAGAAGGTAGTAAACATCTTTACAGTATAGAATAAGAAATGTCAACCTAAAACTTTTTGCCCAGAAAATAATAAAATATTTAAAAGATTAAAGTGCAATAAAGACACATTAGAGCTGGAAGAATATACTACTTGCACACCTGGAGTACAAGGTAATTTAAAGGATGTTCTTCAAGCAGAAGAAAAAGTGAGACTAGGTGGAAATCTGTATCTACACAAAGAAATGATGAACACTGGAATTGGTAGTCACCTGGGTAAATATATAAACATTTAAACACTATATTTAAATTTGTTTAAAAATAACTCACTTTTAGGCCGGGTGCAGTGGCTCATGCCTGTAATCCCAGCACTTTGGGAGGCCGACGCTTGTGGATCACCTGAGGTCAGGAGTTTGAGACCAGCCTGGCCATAACGGTGAAACCCCCATCTCTACTAATAATAGAAAAATTAGCTGGGCATGGTGGCCCACACCTGTAATCCCAGCTACTGGGGAGGCTGAGGCAGGAGAATCGCTTGAACTCGGGAGGTGGAGATTGCAGTGAGCCGAGATCACACCATTGCACTCCAGCCTGGGCAACAGAGCAAAACTCTGTCTCAAAAAAATAAAATAAAATAAAATAAAAATAAAAATAAAAATAACTGACTTTTAAATGCAAAAATTATAACAATATATTTTGGGATTTATAACATGTAGCATAAAATGTATGACAACTGTGGCATAAAGGTCAGAAATAGAGAAACAGAAGTATACCACTGTAGAGCATATATATATATATATATATATATATATATATACACACACACATACACACACACACACAGTTGCCCTCCTCTGATATATCCCACTTCATATATATGTACATATATATACATATACATATACATATACATGTACATGTGTATATATATGTATGTGTATATATGTATGTGTATACATACATAAATACTGACCTGTTTACAGCTTATTACCTTGAAGAGTGAAGTAAAATAATATCACAGGAGGACAACTTTAATTAGTTAAAAATATACATTATAAGCCATAAAGGAACCATCAAAATAATGCAAAGACCAGTTATAATTAACAAATAACAAAGCAAATTTTATTATAAAAAATGCTCTTTTAATATAAAGCACACTAGACAAAATTTTAAAGAAACTAAAAGCAGAAGAAATGGAAAGTGTATGGCAAGATGATAGACCTTAATGCAACAATAACAATGATTACATTAAAGGTGAAAGAGCTAAATACATTATTTAAAATCTAGAGATTTAATATGCAGAGTCTGTCAGATTGAATAAAAAAGCAAGACCCAACTCTTTGCAGCCTATAAGAAACATACTTTAAATATAAATACGTAATACGTAAATGTAAATACACAAATAGATAAAAAGAAAAACAATGGAGTAAGATTTATAACATGTTTACAATAATCCAAAGAAAGATGGAGTGGCTATATTAATATCTGACAAAAAAGATTTCAAAGGAGATAATATAACCAAAAATAAAGTCGCCCAGGCTGGAATGCAGTGGCATGATCTTTGTTCACTGTAACCTCTGCCTCCCAGGTTCAAGCAATTCTCCTGCCTCATCCTTCCAAGTAGCTGGGATTACAGGTGCTTACCATCATGCCCGGCTAATTTTTGTATTTTTAGTAGAGACGGTGTTTTACCACGTTGGCCAGGCTGGTCTCGAACTCCTGACCTCAGGTGATCCAGCCACCTAGGCCTCCCAAAGTGCTGGGATTACAGCGTGAGCCACCATGCCCGGCCAAGGTCATTTCTTAACAATAAAGAGGTCAACTAATCAAGAGGAAATAATGATCCTAAGCATGTATGTATCTATACAATAAAAAAGTATGGAAATAAATGAAGCCAAAACTGATAGAACTGAAAGTAGGAAAAGGCAAACAGACAATTATAGCCTTTAAATAAAAATTGTAGGAAGTCATTGTTTTGAACTAAGCTACTGCACTAGGCCTCAACGGACCAGACTAAAAATCAAAATGGAGCCACTCATGCTGAGTTTCCATGTCACCAAACCCAAACTGAGTTGTTACTTGACCTTCCTAGAAAGCAGGAGTAAGAGGTTAACAGCCTAATTTCCCAAACAGGCCAGTTTCAATCAGCATGATAATGATGTTTCCTCTGCTTTAATTCTGACAACAAAATGTAACCTCAAGTGACCTGATGCTACCAGTTATTTTTCAACTGTTCCTGCTTCACAAAGTAACTTTGAAATGACCAATCTGCTTTTTATTTTTTGTTACTTCTTTCTTTAGTTCTTTTCTATCTATAAAACCAGCCTCTTCTGCCCAGCTCATTGGGACACTTTTTCTATTTGATGGAATGAAGTCTTGCCCAATTCTAGAATTGCAAATAAAGCAATTAAGATTTTTAGACTAAGATGTTGTAATTTTGTCTTATGGCATAGCCAAACATTTCAACACCCTCTCTCATTAGTTGATAGAAAAAGTAGACAGATAATCAGTAAAGAAATAAAAAGCTTGAATAATACATTCAATCACCTTGGCTTCATTGATATTTATAGAACATTCTATGTGTGAAATTGAGGTAAAGACTTTCAGAATAGGAAAGGTTTGAATTGGAGTTTGAAAAAAGGATAAAGTTTGGATATCCAGAGGGAGAGGGAATTCCAAATTAAAGAAAGATTATGAAATAAGTTCAATTCAAATGTCTCTGCAACAAAAAAATCAAATAAAACTGAACTAACTTGACAAAGCATACAGTCTGACTTAGAAATGAAAACAGAACACAAATGAATGTAATACATTACATACTGGTATAATGATTACAAGAAGCTACTAAAAAGTGTTCTATGAGTACACAGGAGGGAATAGTGTTTTCCAGTGGGAGAGATTGAGTGAATGGTTAATGGAGGAAACGACACCTGAATAGGGCTTAATAAGAGATAGAATTCTAAAGCAATATGTAGGCTTAGAGGCTGTTAGAAAAAAGTTAAAAGGCATGAACAAAGACACTGAGGTAGAAAGGTGGAATGCATGCTTATAATCAAAGAGATTTCAGTTAAACTATATTGCAGAAAATGCAGTTGGAAAGTAAATAACAGTAAATGCAGTTGAAATATCATTAGGTCCCATTTTACGTAATAGTTGCAACTTTTAGAATTTAGTGAATACTTGTGAAATATTGAAATAAAATTGGATGTAAAAAGACAAAAGTTGACATCTATGCTTTTGTACTGACTGAAGTTTCTCTTCTCTTTTCCTCTAGTATCCATGTAATAGGTTTAGAAGGTAATTAATTTAATCAATGCTTTCCTGGTGTTTATAGGACTAACATTTTAATACATAGAAAAGAGGTAGTAGTATTGTCTAAAAAATATATATTATGTGACCAAAGACTATTCTTAGAAATACCATCATTCTATTCCTTAATCACTTTACATAGTTAAAGAACACTGATTAGAATGGATTAGAAAGATTTGGAACCAACCCAAATGCCCATCAATGATAGACTGGATAACGAAAATGTAGCATATACACACCATGGAATACGAAGTGGCCATAAAAAAGAATGAGATCATGTTCTTGGCAGGGACATTGATGAAGCTGGAAGCCATCATTCTCAGCAAACTAACACAAGAACAGAAAACCAAACACTGCATGTTCTCACTCATAAGTGGGAGCTGAACAATGAGAACACATGGACACAGGGAGGGGAAAATCACACACTGGTGCCTGTTGGGGGGTGGGGCGCAAGGGAAAGGAGATCATTAGGACAAATACCTAATGCATGCAGGGCTTAAAACCTAGATGACGGGTTGATAAGTGCAGCAAACCACCATGGCACATGTATACCCACGTAACAAACCTGCACATTCTGCACGTGTACCGTGGTACTTAACGTAAAATTTTAAAAAAATTAAAAATAAAAAAAGAACGTGCCTCACAGCCATCGCCAAATCCCAGCTCCTTATTAAACATTTCCATACTCAAAAGCAAAAAATTAAACTAAACAATTATACACACGACAAAAACATTGAGCATTTTTTTAAATTTCATAATTTTGGCTTTATGGAGGTGTATATATATCAGTATGATGTATCTCAGAGTGTAAGTTTAGTTTTTGCTGGCAAAGTCCATAATAATGAATGAAATTATTTAGCTAGCTAGATATAGATATATATCATCATAAAAACATGGTAAATCTTAGACCAAAAGGAGAAAAAGCAGAACCTGGAAATTCATTCAAATATTAGTGAGTGTAAAGAAAAGAAGTTGACTAGAAATTGCAAATTCCTAGAACTAGAGCTGCCAATCATCTTTTCTTTCCTTGAGGAAATATCTCAAATGAATCACATCGCTTTTTACATTGAGATTTAACTTAGCCTAGAATCTTACAAGGAAGACTTGTTTCAGCCTCATTGATGAGAACAACATATTTATGGCAGTTTCTTTTCCAGCATTAAGTGAAACAGATACTCCACTTGATCCCTCAACTAAAGAAAACCAAAGTAAAACCAACCAACCAAACAAATAAATAAAACACAAATATAAGTTGGTGGCTTTAGAAAAAGGCACAACCCCAAACACTAAAAATAAATCTCATAAATCCACAAAAGCCAAATACAAACTGAAAGCTGGAAACGTGAAAAATAAAGCATGAAACCAATGTTTTATTCACATGCTAAAGACTTTGTTTGACCTTTCGTTCTAATGCCTTCTTTGGTGGATGGCGTAAACAAAATCCACAATGGGTCTAAAGGAGACCCTAAATAAATCTAGATCCCAAAAGCATTGTCTAAATGTGACAAAAAATAAAAGCCCATGCTGCATAAAAGAGATTGGTGAGATGTTTTAATTTTTATTCCTGTTATGAGCTTGTACTGAGCTAATAAAAAATAATTAATATTGACTAAAAATTTGAGCCATAAGTCCACACTTGGTTTGTGTGGTCCCAATTCAGCATACACAATTAAAAATAAAACATAATACATAAATACAAATGCAACAAAAGCATCAAAGAATCCCCATAGATAAAATTCCAAGAAAGATAAACTCATCTACAAGTAAATAAACAGTACACAAGGAAAAGTATCACCATGACTGAGAGACAGCAGAAATAACAGGCAAAAGAAACCAATACTCAAAAATAAAAGATATTTGTTTAATAAGATGTAAAATATCAGATAATGATGCTAAATATATTTTTAAAAATACACATCAGCAAAGCAAGAGTTAAAATATAGCTAAACATTTTTATAGAAAGCTCAGTGAAACTTCTAGTAACAATTTTTTTAAATTTAAGCAATGAATATAGAAAACCATTAGTCACACATGAAGAGAGAATTATTGGACTATAGAAGCAAGTATGACACAGAATTAAATACCAAAAGGCACCAAGAAAAGTTTATAAAATAACCATGTTAAAGTGAGATTTTAACACATTTTTAATAAGTGTTTAAGGAGGATGAGAAGTTATGACAATATTCTAATAGAAAATTGATAATTTTCTAGAATTGACAGAAAGCACCAAAGCATAGATTCAGAAAACCCAATACAACCTAAACATGGTTAATGAAAAAATATCTATAACTATGCACATACTAGAAAAAACAGAACACCAAACAAAATTATCTTTTAAAAATATGAAAGCTTCAATATTGCTTAGATGTCAGTTATTTCTTTGCCAGGTGATTTATAGATTTGATACAATTCACATAAGAAATCCCTATGGTGTATTTTCTTTTTAGAAAAGATACAAAGTGATTCTAAAATTTATAAAGAAATGTAATACATCTAGATGAGTTAAAAGAACTTTGAAAAAGAAGAACAAGATGGAAGAACTACTACTATTTGATTTTAAGACACTACTATCTGATGTTAAGATATGATATAAGGATGAATTTCATGGTATGTCAATTATATCTCAATTAAAAATGATGAAAAGGGGAAGGAAGGAATAGGTTTGCAGTTGTAACATGCTTTCTGTGACTTAGTAAATTTTAATATGAAAGTGTAAGTTGCACAGTCTGAATGGTCAACAAATCAGTTATGTTAAAATATACCTATATGAAGCAATAAACACATGAAAAGGTGTCCAGTATTATCAGTTATCAGTAAACTACAAACGAAAATAAAATAAATCCCACTATTCATCAGTTGTGGATGATTTTAAAAGACTGATGATATTAAGTGTTGGCGTAAATGTAGAACAAATGAAACTCTCCTATATGGTTCCTAAAACATAAAATACAAAGTATGAATACTTTCAAAAGAGTATGGAAATTCCTTATACAGGTAAACATGGAATTACTATGTGACTTAACAATTCTACTCTTATGTATTTACAAATAAATATGAAAATATATGTTTACACAAAAACAAGCGTACACGTTTATAATAACTATACACAAAACTAAAAACAATGCAAATGTTCATCCGTAGGTGAATGGATAAACAAATTATTTTATAGTCATACAATACAATACTTCTCAGCAATATAATTGAACAAACCAAAATTATATTTAGAAAAAAGAATGAAAGAGAAAAAAATAATCAATTCAAATAAATGGAAGACACAAGAAATATAATAGGACAGATAATGGCACATATAATGAAAACAGTAACATTTAAATTTATCAGTAATTAGAAGAAATTTAAATGAATACAATCTTCAACAAAAATACAGAAATTGGCAAAAAGATAAAAACATATTTCTCTCTCTCTCTTTTTGTTTAAAGGGCATACCTAAATCAATCGGAAAGTGCTGAAAATAATAAGGTGGAAAGGCTGATAATAAACATGTATCAATGAAAAAAGGATGTTATTGTAATTTGAATATAAAAATCTTTAATGCAAAAAATTAATAGAGATAAACTTGGCCAATAAAAACAACAAAAGATTAAATTTATCCAGAAGATATAATAATTCTGTAGTTGCAGGAACTGAATAATAATAGCCTTAAAATGTACTTAGAAAAATTAATAAGGAGAAATTGATGAGTTCACATTATAAAGGGATACTTTAATGCACCTTCCTGAGGACATAGTGAAAATCAATGTTTATTATTTGAACATCAAAATGGATATGTTTGATTAAATGGACATATATGTAACACTAACACTTTTAGGCACACATGGAAGTTTTAAAAATGTAAACTAGTACAACCACTACGGAAAACAGTGTGGAGATTCCTTAAAGAACTAAAAGTAGAACTACCATTTGATCTAGCAATCCCACTATTGGGTATCTACCCAGAGGAAAAGAAGTCATTATATGAAAAAGATACTTGCATATGCATGTTTATAGCAGTAAAATTCATAATTGCAAAAAATATGGAAGCAGCCCACATGCCCATCAATCAACAAGTGGATAAAGAAATTGTGAGATACACACACACACACACACACACACACACACACACACATACACCATGGAATACTACTCAGCCATAAAAAGGAATGAAACAATGGCATTCACATCAACCTGGATGGAATTGGAGACCATTATTCTAAGTGGAGTAACTCAGGAATGGAAAACCAAACATAATATATTCTCACTCATAAGTGGAAGCTAAGCTATGAGGATGCAAAGGCACAAGAATGATGCAATGGACTTTGGGGACTTGGAGGGAAAAAGTGAGAGGTGGGTAAGGGATGAAAGACTACACACTGGGTACAATACACTTCTCTGCTGATGGGTGCACCTAAATCTCAGAAATCACCACTAAAGAACTTATTCATGTAAGTAAACACCACCTAGTCCTCAAACCTCTGTTGAAATAAAAAAAAAAAAGAAAAAAAAATCAATTCACTAAACAAAAATTCCAAGAACTCTAATAAGAAACTGATAGGCTCATAAAATGGCTAATCAGGATCAAGTAAAATAAGAAAATTAATTACACAAAATTAAATAATTGATAAAGATAAAACAATGATTCCCTCCCTAACTCATAAATCAATTGATATTTCAAAGTATTTTTGTTATCCTGATCAATTCTTTGGCCACAGTTCAATTATAGTCAGTAAGTTACAGAAAAGTACCAAAAAATTATTTCATTCAATTTGACATAAAAATAATAAGAAAAGTTCAGAAGACATAGACTTATCCTGACAAATAGATATTTTCACTATATGGTAATAAAAGTACTCTGTAGTAGTGAAAAATACCTCAGAGAGCATCTCAAAAGGATTTTTAATTTAAATGCTTATATTTGTTTTTTGTTTTGTTTTGAGACAGAGTTTCGCTCTTGTTGCCCAGGCTGGAGTGCAATGGTCCGATCTCGGCTCACCACAATCTCCGCCTCCTGGGTTCAAGCGATTCTCCTGCCTCAGCCTCCCAGGTAGCTGGGATTACAGGCATGTGCCACCATGCCCGGCTAGTTTTGTATTTTTAGTAGAGACAGGGGTTTCTCCATGTTGGTCAGGATGGTCTCGAACTCCCAACCTCAGGCGATCCGCCCACCTCGGCCTCCCAAGGTGCTGGGATTACAGGTGTGAGCCACCAAACCCAGCCTAAGTGCTTGTATTTGAAAGAAAGAATGAAAAATTAATAAGCTAGACATTCAACTTAATAATTGATGAAAAAATGTATATAAAAAGTAGAAGAAAAATAATAATGGCAAGAAGGTAAACTAGCAAAGTAAAATCAAAGATAAATAGAGAACAACCAGCCAGAAAATACAGTTCACTGAACAAAAAAAAGAGGGATGGAGGAGAGACAAAAAGGGAGAGCAAGAGCAATAAAGGAAGAACATGAGTGCAAATGAGAGCAAGAGAGTGCCCTAGCAAAAGCAAGAAGGCACTAGTAAGTCATAATAGAAATCAAAATGGGATATTACTGCCACAAGTGAAATGATTAAGCATATAATAAGAGGATATTATATATTGCTGTTTGTATATATTCTTGAAAAGTTATATGAAGTGAAAAAATATTCTTTTCAAAGTACTAAAGGTGACCTCAGAAGAAATTAAACAAAATCTTAATAGTCTTCTATTGGTTACATAAATTTAAAAACTAATTAAATGTTTAATCCCACACAGAAAGCAATAGCTCCAAATTTCTTTATAGTCTAGTTCCAATTTTAAACAAATTTTTCCAGGGAATCAGTATAGCAAGAACATTGTTTTCCAACCCGTTTTATGAGGTTAGCATAACCTAATTTGAATCTGAAATCAGTGCATTTCAAGAAAAAAGAATCGCAAGGTCTACGGAATCTTAGGATAAACAGTGTATTTTACATGGTGAGAAAGTCAACTTTTAATTTATAACTCAGTCACAGATATGCATATTTGTTTGACCTGGAATATTTTTTCCATTTAAGATGAAGTCATTCATATTTTTACTTGTTTGTATCCTATGTCACTCTTTTAGTTTTCCAGAGTCATTTGCTCTGAGGCACATCAAGTATACAATGACGATTTGGGGAAAAAGAATTTGAACTTCTAAATGTGAAGCCTAGAGTGTTATTTTTCCATGGTTTATATGCTGAGCTTCTAATTTCTCAGTGGCAATGAAGATCCTCTATCGTCTCGGCCCAGTCTTCCTCTCATTCTTATTGCCTATCATTCTTCTAATAACAGTCAACTACTTCATTTCATGTTCTCCACACATGCTCCCTTCACTGACACTGTGCATTTGCATGAGACTCTTTTCCTTCCCCTCTACCTGCTGATCACCACTCAGCTCATGTTGCCCTTTTCCATGAGGCATTTTACAACCCTTTGAATCTTCTCTAAATTTCCATGAATGTTTGTAAAAGCTTATTTGGTCCTTTATGCTTATTTATGTGTACAGTAAGCAGAGCATTGAAATACATAGGCCCTAAGCCATTTGTAAATTATTACATGTATCAGGACTTTTAAGGAGTAAAATATTCCCTACTGCATGTACTTTTTTGTATGTGGTAAAACATATAAAATTTACTCTATTAACTACTTTTAAACACACAGTTTCGTAGTGTCAGGTATATATTTGTTTCTGTGAAACAGATTTCCAGAACTTTTTCATCTTGCAAATATGAAACTAGACAAAAATTCCAAGAACCCTAATAAGAAACTGATGGGCTCATAAAATGGCTAATCACTAAAGAGCACCTTGCTCTCATTTGCACTCACATTCTTCCTTTACTGCTCTTGCTCTCCCTTTTTGTCACCCCTCCATCCCTCTCTTTTTTTTCAATGAACTGTATTTTCTGGCTTGGTTGTTCTCTATTTATCTTTGTTTTTTACTTTACTAGTTTACATTCTTGCCATTATTATATATCCATTAAAAACCAGCTTCCCTTTTTCCTCTCCCCTCAAATCCTGGCAACAACCATTTCACTCTTTTTTTTCATGAACTCAACCACTCTAGACACCTCATGTAATAAGTAGAATTATACAGTATTTGTCCTTCTGTGACTGGCTATCTTCACCTAGCACAATGTCCCTAAGGCTTAACAGTGCTGCAGTCTGAGACAGGATTTCATTTCACTTTTTAATATATCTAGGGTTTCCATTTCTTTGGGATGATCACTTTCTTAGATGTTTTCCTTTAAAAAAAAAAACAAAAAACTAACCTTTACTACTAGGGATGCACTTTCAGTTATTTACTTCTTTGTGTTATGTTGGAGGAGCAATGCTCACAAAATATTTTTACTTATCTGTTGAATATTGCTGACAACAAGTGTAGAATGCTGCAAAGGCATGATACACTGCAGATGTTTGAAGTGGAGAGAGGATGGTCGTGATTTGCACTGATTTGTATTTTACTCATTTCTTAAGTGGTTTTTTATACACCCACCTGTCAGTATGTACCACTAAAATTTACGCCCCAATTAAACTTACCAGTTATTTTATGTCATGGATCTCTAGGTTACTTATGAATAGTAGAAAATATCATATGTTTAAATCCATGAACACCAAGAATTTGCTTTATTTGTAAACTAAAATAGTTCAAGGTCCCCCTTTTCCTTTCATCTTTTTATTTTATTTTATTTTGAGACGGAGTCTCGCTCTGTCGCCCAGGCTGGAGTGCGGTGGCTCGATCTCGGCTCACTTCAAACTCTGCCTCCCGGGATCAGCCATTCTCCTGCCTCAGCTTCCCGAGTAGCTGGGACTACAGGCGCCCGCCACCACGCCCGGGTAATTTTTAGTAGTTTTAGTAGAGACGGGGTTTCACCGTGTTAGCCAAGATGGCCTCTATCTCCTGACCTCATGATCCTCCCGCCTTGGCCTCCCAAAGTGCTGGGATTACAGGCGTGAGCCACCGCGCCTGGCCTTTTTACCTTTATAATACATTGTCCACTGATGTGTTAAAAACAAGCTCAATAGGCTGGGCACGGTGGCTCACACCTGTAATCCCAGCACTTTGGGAGGCCAAGGCAGGCGGATCACGAGGTCAAGAGATCGAGACCATCTGGCCAACATGGTGAAACCCCGTCTCTACTAAAAATACAAAAATTAGCTGGGCGTGGTGACACGTGCTTGTAGTCCCCAGCTACTCAGGAGGCTGATGCAGGAGAATCGCTTGAACCTGGGAGGTGGAGGTTGCAGTGAGCCCAGATCGCGCCACTGCACTCCAGCCTGGCAACAGAGTGAGACTCCGTCTCAAAAAAAAAAAAAAAACAAAACAAAAAACAAAAATAAAAAACAAACTAATAAATATCTATATGAGGTCTATTTTCCCACTGTCAAAATAATGTTGAACCTGACATAACAGTTACTGCAATAAGTAAATATCGTGCAGAGAGCACAGATGACGTAATTATGCACACTGGTCATTTCCTAGTTTCTAAGCCTGTGTCTGTTTTCCTAAGATTGCGATACTTGCTAGTTTTTTTCTGTGGAGAATATTCTGCTTCAAGAGATTTATTTGACCAGCGTCCATTTGTTATTTAGGTATAGGTTTAAATATAACCTCATCAGAGAGTCCTAAATTGACCACTCAATCTAATGACACTGGCCGCGCTTCTGCAGTTAGCTTTTATGTATCAGTTTTTCTTTGTTTTCTTTATGAGGCTTATTACTATATGAAATTGTGTTTTTCATTTACCTCTTTACTGTTTCCCCTCTCTGGAACACAAGCTTCATGAAAACAAAGCCCCATTTTGTCCTGTTGTTGTTCTACTTCTGACACCAGGTGCCAACTAACTGCCCAATAAATAGTTACTGAATTAATAAATGACTGACTGTATATAATACTAATTATGTTATTTTTTAAAGGATAATACAGAGGAATTATAATATAATGAAGCATGTAATTACATATGTATACATACAAATAATACATATATGTATGTATATATACATATATTATATATATACATTTCAGACTCTGGAATCCACTTCCTCTGCCATCAAATCTTGCTACAGTGAGGTTTTCCATGTTAATAAGTATGGAATCCCAGTCAATATGGAACTTATCTGTAACCAACTGGCCTCCTGTGAATGTGTAATAGGATATTACATAACATAGATACGCATAAAAAGATAGATTCAGCATTTCTACTATTTACCTTTCCAAAAATGCTTAATCTTTTGGAGTCAATGTAAGGCAGTTTCAGCAAAAATCTGCAATGAAAACGAAAAACAATAGTTATATCTTTGTGAGTTAAATGCAAATATAAATATATAGTTGGCATGCATACATACAAAACAATAGCTAATGACTAGAAATGCTTTACTAACTGTAGCTCTGTTCATGTATTAGGGTCATATACTCCAAAATCTTGCTACTCAAAGTGATGGCCTAGTAGTTTGGTATCACCTGAAAGCTTGTTATAAATGCAGAAGCCTGGGCCCCATTCCAGGCCTACTGAATCAACATCTACATTTGAACAATATCATATCTGGTTTCTGTGTGCTATTATAAAGAACCCACTAACTTTCTTAGGTCACACATTCATGCCAGTGTGATAATGGTATCTGTGAAACTTCAAGAATTGTGATTAACTGAGGATACAACAGACATTGTGGATTCCTGTAAACAAATAATATAGTGGTATAATTAAAATGTATCCAACTTCCATAAATCCAAAGTAAATTTTAATTCCAGAGGGGAAATATGAGAATTCTTTTATTATAGCACTAAGGGTGACAGGTACTTCAAAAAAAAAATGAAATAGGCTTTATGATTAACTTACAAAATTGCTCAATCACTAAAATAGAAGCCTTGAGTCAGGGTTAGTAATATTATATGTCATATACCAAGACTCTGTCATTATAGAAAACAGAGAAGAAAAATGTGCATCCACTTACTTCACAGCTGTTATTTGGTCCTTTACTTCTACTGAACCTAATCTTCGATGAATCTCCTGCAAAATTTTCAGACCCTGGAATCCACTTCCTCTGCCATCAAATCTTGCTACAATGACATTATCCATGTCAATGAGTACGGAATCCCAGTCAATATGGAACTTATCTGTAACCAGCTGGCCTCCTGGTTCTTCATCCCTGCAAATACCAACATATTGGACCAAAACAAGAGCAACTGAAAATCTGGTAGAAATTTTACCTTTCATACTCACAAGTTAAGTAATGGGAAAGAACTGTGCTGGCTATTAAAATTTCTGTTAATTCTTGATAATAAACCTGAAGGTAAAATTACAATTTTCCTTCGTAAAATTGTATTTTCCTTTGTAAAACTGTAATTGAAAAGTTCCCTGAATGAAATGAAAGTATGAGTTAACATTGCAGTAGAAATTAGTTTAGCTCATTTCTCAATGGGGAAAAATGAAGAAAATGGATGATACTCTCCCAAAGGCATTTCTAAAGAATGACTGTCAAGTTGGTAGACAAGTCTATCTTTACTGGATTTCTTCCATAGTGTTTTAGAAATGTCTTGCAAATGGCTTCCAAGGGCTGAAGGGCAGAACCAGTTATGAAAAGTTGATAATAATTTAACAGGAAATGTACAACCATACATAATGTTAAACTTAAAAAAAAAACTGCATTAGTATTTCCTGAATTGTTTTGTTTGTTTGTTTCTGTGGTGGAATTCTCACTGAAGAAAATTTAAACAAGCAGTGAGAAAAATTCTTTTTTATCACTAAAGTTGACAGCAGAAAGAAGCATAGATATATATGTTTGAAAAACTTGAAAGCTAGAAGGAAAGAAAGACACATAAATAATAAAGCATGAATGTTCTTTCCACAGGGAAAAGAAGGTACAATTTTAAAATGTCAGCTTAAAATATTTATTAGTTAATTTTCTAGAATACAGAAAAAGTAAAAAATCAGACTCTGAAACAATCACATAGAATATCTAGGTCCATACCTAGATATAGTTCCAATAGGAAGTTGTGCATGTGATAGATTTACAGACCATTTAAACATCCAACCCTGAAAGGATCTCCATTGTTAGTTGGGCAACCTGTGAGAAATTCCCAGCCTACTCACTCTTCAAGGTAAAAACACCAAACTCTCCCGCCTTCCTCTTTATGTGAATGTTTATCTAGAAGCCCCAAATACACAAATCATCTCCAATAACAAGCTTTCAAGTTATCAGATTTCCTACAGCAAATAACCTTTCAGCAACAAATGAAACTGAGCAGATACAGGGGTTGTGTGGAATCCTGTAAGTGACATAAAGAAGTAAGTAGAGAATCAGACAAAACACAGAGCAACTAAAATTTATTAAAAGCTGTTAGGGGCTGAATTATGTTCTCCAAAATTTATATGTTGAATCCCTAACACCCAGTTGCTTAGATTGTGACTATATTTGGAGATAGGTCCTTTAAAAAGGTAACTAAGTTAAAATGAAACCACAAAGGTGGGCCCTAATTCAATCTGACTGGTGCCCATTAAAGAAGAGGAAATTTGCACACACAAAAGACTCTAGAGGTGCACAGTTACAGTGGGACTACCATATGAAGAGGCGCAAAGAGGGCGGTCGTCTGCAACCCAAGGAGAGCCCTCAGAAATAACCAATCCTGCTGGCACATTGATCTTTGACTTCTAGCCTTCAGCGCTGTGAGAAAATTAATTTCCATTGTTTAAGATATCCAGTCAGGCCGAGGCGGGTGGATCATGAGGTCAGGAGATCGAGACCATCCTGGCTAACAAGGTGAAACCCCGTCTCTACTAAAAATACAAAAAATTAGCCGGGCGCGGTGGCGGGCGCCTGTAGTCCCAGCTACTCGGGAGGCTGAGGCAGGAGAATGGCGTGAACCCGGGAAGCGGAGCTTGCAGTGAGCCGAGATTGCGCCACTGCAGTCCGCAGTCCGGCCTGGGCGACAGAGCGAGACTCCGTCTCAAAAAAAAAAAAAAAAAAAAAAAAAAAAAGATATCCAGTCAGAGATATTTAGTTATGGTGGTCCTAGCAAACTAATATAAATGCCTTCTGTGGTCTAAGCACTTAAGATCCATTATGTCATGTACTCCATATTTCCAAAGTTTAGTAAATCTTTTTGGGAGTAAGTTTTCTATTATGTGGATTATGAGATGTATTATAAATAAAGAAACACCGTAAATAAACTGTGCCATAGAAATTAATGAATCACAACTCTCCTCCATTCTTTTCTAAATCACTCATTTAATGTGATTTTCAGTGATTCAAATCAAAATATGCCTTGTCTTTCCACAGTGTTTGCCACCTAGATATTTTCTCTTTTCTTTTATATTTTCTTTTTAAATGTATTTTAATTTATGCAACCTTGGCTCTTGATCAGATCATTTGAAATTTATTACTACCCATATCCCCATGCTGTAACCTAGAAGTCTGATGTCTTCATTCAGAAGTAAGCCTGGAATTGCTGTTTTTTGTTTGTTTGTTTGTTTGTTTGTTTCAGTTGCCCAGTTGATCCTGATACAGCTTGTTTAACATTTGAGAACTAGCACGAATCATGCCTAGCATAATTTCTAGTATGCATAGGACACAGCCAATGCTTGTTGAAGTAGACCTTCTTCAGGGAAAATAGATGAAGTTTAAAATGGAAAGGCCTTAAAAAGACTTGAGTTTACATAAAGATACTGCATTTTGAAGCTTGTGGATTTATTGCAAATATTTTGATTCACAGAGAACAGGTACCAAAGATTAACTTCACCTTTGAATACTAAGCTGAGTAAAAATACCAAGGTTGAATCTCAACTTTACTACCAACATAGGCAAAAATAACTGAAACACTAGGACTCAGTCTGTGTCTATAATGATGGCCAATACTACCATATTTTCCTCAAAGACATTTTGTAAGCATTAATGGCATAAGGCATTTGAAAATACTTTATGAAGTATAATGAACAAAACCATGATTAGATTTATAGGACAATAACAACTGTTTTTTATTCTTTTACTTGAAGAAAATTTTGCTTATGTTGAGCATATTTCTTTGAGTTACACTTAAAAATGGAGAACTATATAAAGAATTTCGGCTAGTTGTACAGTAATTAAATGCACAATATCTATGGATAAAGCATAATTGCTATGTAATATGAGCTCTTATGTCAGAGGTAATCCCATTTTCTAGATGGACCAATGAAATCTAAAGCCTTACAAGGATATAAAAAAAGTGCAATCAACAGACCCTTGGAGTGATCACCAGAGTGTCCTTAACTTTTAAGGCAGGATTGTTCACCTTTATAAACTCTGGCAGCAGTGCTAAGGCAACATAAGATGTTTTGTTTATTTAAAAGATATAACTTTCCAATCTACGTATGACACATTGCCTTGTTCACAGCGATTTCAGAAGTTCCCAGCTAAGATATGTTTAGTTAAAATGTAAATAAGTCAGACATTTTATGGCAGGCAAGTAAATTATTTTAAGATAGAGTTTAAAATAAGGCACAGTTTTCAAACTCACAATTAGTAAATGGCAACAGGTTTTTTAAAACAAATCCTTCAATCCTTTACTCATTATTGCTACACTCATAGAAGAAAACTACAATTTCACTCTTTTGCTCTCTTCTCTTAATTGCCATTTTAAACTTTAACCTAGTCTTTCCAAGGTTTAAATGTTAGATCACGAAGTGGTATCAATTCATTATGAACCAAAGATTTTTGAACCCATTTCTGTGATCTAATTGGGTGTTGTTTCTTTTTCTTTGGTGCACAATATAGGCATATCTATTTCAACATACACTTAAAAGAACATGGATTATGATGCTAATCATTGGCATTATAAGGAACAAATCAGGCATGTGCAGGAAAATGAGGGACATTACTTGTTCACAAAGTGTTGAGCAGAAAATACTAGACTTATAAATAAAGCTAAGCAAAGAGTGCTTATTCAGTAAAATAGGAATAGCAAAACATTTGGTGCTAGGGATAACCACACAGAATGTACTAAAGACAAATCATCTATCTTATAATAAATGGGTACCACGACTCATGTGTGTATTGGCTGTGCAAGATTGCTGAGCTCCAATTGATTTAGTTATTTTTGTTTCTTTCTGAGTGTCTCCCTCATTTGCCTTCTACACAATTTTGCTTTTTTATCTCTGTCTCAGAAATCTTTGGGGATTCACAGTAAGAAGGGTGTTTCAAGGTTGAGAGTGGGGACATACAACTTTGTTGAAAGTTGCGGTGAAAAGAACAATTCCATCTGTTTTAAGCAGTGAAAAGGTCATAGCAATATGACACTTGTCTATTTCCTAACACAAGTAGCAGAATCAAATTAAGACTGCAAACTTTTCTTAGAAGTTAAGGTCTTTGAGGGCAGAATCCTCATCTCTTTCAATACCTTCAACACTGAATGTGTCTGTATGGATGAGTTCACAATATAATAAAATATAGAAAAAATGGAATAAAACAAACAATACTCAATAGATTTTTTAAATGACAGAACAAGTCACCTCTTTATGACATAAAAAACATCATTTATACCAAAACTGGATTAAAGTATAGAGATTTGTTCAAACTACATGTTTGATCGGGTTCACAAAGTGTTTCAATTAAATTCTAAAAAGAGGGTTGAATTTATATACAGAAGACTAAGGTTTTAGTCCTTGATTTCATTACCAATCTGCTGAGGTACCTTGAGGAATTAATTGGTTTTTTTATTTTTATTTATTGTTTTCATTGTTAAGTAATATTTGGTGGTAAATAGTTAAGATCACAAATTATCAGGGCAGTACTTTTTTTTTTTTTTCGAGATGGAGTCTCGCTCTGTCGCCCAGGCTGGAGTGCAGTGGTGCGATCTCGGCTCACTGCCAGATCCGCCTCCCGGGTTCAGCAATTCTCCTGCCTCAGCCTCCCAAGTAGCTGGGACTACAGGCTCCCGCCACCATGCCTGGCTAATTTTTTGTATTTTTAGTAGAGATGAGGTTTCACCATGTTAGCCAGGATGGTCTCGATCTCCTGACCTCGTGATCCGCCTGCCTCGGCCTCCCAAAGTGCTGGGATTACAGGCGTGAGCCACCGCACCCCATTAAAAGTACATTTTTGAAAGCTCTTATCCTTATCAGTAAAGCTTTAGTTATAATAAATGGAAGGAAGAATATTATTCTAACGAGAGGACTTCTGACGACCAGTTGAAAGCATGGCAGAATTTGTCAGCTGCTTACCTGTGTCCACTGGGGCAGTGGAAAGAGGGGACATAGAGAGAACTGCTTTATAGTCATCTCAGTTCATTGCTCTTTCTAGGCCTACAACAGGTTCGCTCAGTTGCACGAGTACCTGTTTGAAAGCTAGAATCCTTGAGAACCAAGGGTTGCAATTTAATTGTAGGTATTATGAATTTAAAAAGAATGTGAAAGGAGGAGTAAAGAACAGAATAAAAATCAAGGTAAGGAAAAGGAAACAATATGCAAAGAACAATATTACCTTATATTCTGAAGCATAATCAACTATCTATGCTTCCATTTTATTCTTCATGACAATTCATTTCAGGTAGAATATGAGATTAACATAGGATAGCAGCTTTAAACAATATTTGCCTTGGTTTAATTAAAAATTTACTTTATAGAGATTTATAATCCATGATGATTTAGTTGCAGCATATGTGTATCTAAAGTATAATGAAGTTTGCCCTCTTTCAAGCAGTATGTACACATAGATCCACATATTGGCTAAGGGCCTCTTGGGCCAATTCCTTCTATTTATCTCTTTATTATTTTTAAATTTCTTCTCATAGATGGATTTTCCTACATGAAGAATGGCTGAATGAATTTTCTCATACACTGTATTTACTTCATCATGTAAGGAATTACATTATTTTTTTCCTACCAGAGAACTGTTTCTTGTCCACATTCCCATCTTCTTCCATTAGGGATATTGTTAAGATAATCTTCAAATTCCTCACCCTAGTTTATTTACAGTGTAGCTTTTGGTTGAATTCCTTTTTTTATAAGTCATAACCAGGAAAGCAGTTGATTCGATCAAGGTTGTTCATGCCGCTACCAAGACCCTATCTCCTAGTTCTAAGATTTTTCTTTCTGGCGGTGATTATGATGAAGGCTACCTGATAATGTATAAAAAATTCTGTTCATAAATTAAATTCTCAAATTGTACTAACCTCCAAATCACTTGTACTCATCTATTTTTATTCTCAGACTTTGTCCATTGTCAAACCTTCAGAAAGGTTGCCTGCATTCATGACCTAGACTTTATAAAGAAGTAAGCATGTCACTGTGAAAAGGTACAGGTGATATGGGGATCAAATCAAACTGAGTTGAGCCCAGGTCCAGTGGCTTTAGACACTTATGCCTACGTTTGCTTTTAATTTGGTATAGAGGGTGATAATAGCATCTACCCAGTAGAGTTATGGCAGGGATTAAATGAGATTCTATATGTAGCTGCGTAAAGTGCCTGGTCCTTGGTATAGGTGTTCAATATTATTAACCTAGTTCTGGACAACACTTTGGGACTTGACCTTACACCTTCCATTCCTCTTGTAGAAGCTGAGCCACCCAAATCTGACTATCTCTATGCAACTCTGCATCAATAATTCCTGCACTCTCATTCAAGAACATCGTTTCTCAGGGAAGGTGGTTTTATGTCATCGAAGTATTCTTGACCTCTAGTCTATTTGCACAAATACACATAATTTAAAAATCTCTTTATTATTCTAGTAGTCTTTATGTCACATAAATAAATCTTCGCTGGCTTGAATTATAGTTACACGGCCATACAAATGGAAAAGAAATATTGTGCCTTTCGCACACGTATATGCTGCTCAGCGTGTATCTCTCGAACACGTGTCTGGCACTTTTGCAATTTTATTATCCATATGTTAAAGGTATCTTACGAGCTTCTTCATAGTTAGATTAGTAGCAGTGATTGCTTTTAAATTGCTAAAATCCAGAGTGCCTCTGAACTCAGTTATAGTTTGATTTTAAAGAAAACATTCTTAAGTCTTTTCACTTATTCATATGTGGGTCTGTTCATTAACATTGTTATCTGTGACTT
Organism: Homo sapiens; assembly: GCF_000001405.40. Classification (NCBI taxonomy): domain Eukaryota; kingdom Metazoa; phylum Chordata; class Mammalia; order Primates; family Hominidae; genus Homo; species Homo sapiens. The sequence continues at coordinate 115,807,904 of NC_000002.12, read as the reverse complement.
CAGATAAACCTGAAAAATGCATTTAATGTTTTTCCTCAATCAGAATTTTTCGTGTTTTTAAAGAATTAAAAAAAACCCAAACATATATTTGATGTTTTAATGTTTTTTTTTTTCTTGATCTCCAAGTTTGGGTATTTTGCATTAATAAAATTGAATCTTTTTTTGGATCTCTCCCCTAGCCTTCCTCCTACTTGTCCCTTTTTTCTCTCTTCTATTTTTAATGAAATAGTTTTCCTTATGTCATGATGAACTATTATCGGCCAAAGGCACTCTTCCTTGTCTTGAAGGGAATTTGATACTATTTTGCTCTTTATCTTGAATGAAAGCCAGAGATTGTCTCCTTAGCCTGATGCAAAAACTGCATAATGACCATCATGAGAGTAATGAAGAAAAAACAGAGTCCAGTTGTTTAACTGCAGTTACGCGTACTGTAGTACAAATCCAAAAACTGAAAGCCTTATTGTTACACAAGTTGAAACACTGAACAGCATAGATATTAATGAGCCAGCTCTAAAACTCAGAAATGGACTGTTAGCATTATCCACACAAAATTAACCTCAGGATAAACATCTTGGACAGCACATGAAAATATAAGAATACAACCAATAGAAAAGGACCTCAGGGACATCTCCTAGCCAGAAATTGTTCAATAAAATAGAAGGAATGTACAATCTCCTAATGATATTTGCTGTCAAAGTCTTAGTACATTAATTCTTATCCTTTGGCCAATTTTCATTTGAGATAATTTCTAACAGTGTGAGTGAGTAAGTAGAAAGGTAAGAGGCTTTGATGATCTTTTCTTTCAGTTGCTGGGAATAGCTATATCATCACAGAGCTAGGATAGCATTTGATCTATTCTCTTGCACTTAGAAAGGGTCATACCTAAATTATTCATGGTTAAAAGAAAGCTTAGCACATTTTATAAACACACCAAAGACAGGAGAATTTATCTCAGTTTTCACGTGCACATAACTGCAATGTGACTCTCCTATGCAGCAGGTCCACTTTGGATATGATCATGGAAAATATTCTACATGCTTGCTTCAGGAACTGGGGGTGGGGGGGCAATTTAGATAAAAAATAGAACAAAGTGTGTGTATCTTTAAAAAAGAAGCAGGTGACAATCTCCACAACAAACTTAAATTTCTGTATTTTTTCAAGGAGAGGGCAATTCAGCATGGGAATGTAGTGAGTACGTACTGAGGCTGACAATACATATAGGCTACATATCGAAGGATACATATGTGTGCAATGGGTTGATAATACAGGAATGGATGCTAATTATTACTAACTTTCAACCTGTATTTCATCCTTGGTAGGGCATCATGACACCTTCAGTAATGTATGGTGGTGATACAATACTGGTTTTCTAACTATATAATCCTTTACCTGCATTCTAAAAATCCATTTATCAACTGGAAAGTGTGGTTATATAAACATAGGGAATTTTACACCTTAGCTGAGTTTTTGCATCAGTTAAATAGGAATAATAATGATTATAGTACTAAGTATAAGCAGGCAGTGGCAGAACCATCTTGCAACTTAGTAAACCGACATATAGCGGTAAAGAAATTATAAACCATAGATAGACAAATAACACCAGTTTTTTGAGAGAACACAATTATAAAAGTTGACCTCAACAAAATATTCACTTATACCTTTGGCATATAAGCAATTATATCCTCAAGGCAAAAGGAAATTGGAATTCTTAGCCAGAATAAGATTATAAATTTAAGGTGTTAAAAAATCTCTTTTATTTATTAAGCTCTAATTATGGGTCTTTTTCTGAATTTACACCACGTATTTTAAATTCCTTTATCCCTAGAATTTTTTCTTAGGGAAAAGTAATAAAAGCTTGTATGGCACATTGTTGCTGAGTTTTCACTTCTTAGTAGTTGTCCAACATGAGGCATATTGCTCATCAGTTCTGTCCCTCAAGGGTTCTCACCTGCAAAAACGGGGATTAGAATATCTGCCCTGTTGTAATCATAATGCGGTGAGAGTACAAGTTCTTATGAAAGCACAGGAAGTGCCGGGCGCGGCGGCTCACACCTGTAATCCCAGCACTTTGGGAGGCCAATGCAGGCGGACCACCTGAGGTCAGGAGTTTGAGACCAGTCAGGCCAACGTGGCAAAAGCCCATCTCCACTAAAAGTACAAAAATTAGCCAGGTGTGGTGACGGGCACCTGTAATCCTAGCTACTCGGGAGGCTGAAGCAGGAGAATAGCTTGAACCCAGGAGGCAGAGGTTGCAGTGAGCCAAGATTGCACCACTGCACTCCAGCCTGGGCGACAGGAGTGAGACTGCGTCTCAAAAAAAAAAAAAAAATGGGAGCCAAGATGGCCGAATAGGAACAGCTCCAGTCTACAGCTCCCTGCCTGAGCCACGCAGAAGACGGGTGATTTCTGCATTTCCAGCTGAGGTACTGGGTTCATCTCACTGGGGAGTGCCAGACAGTGGGTGCAGGACAGTGGGTACAGCGCACCCTGTGTGAGCCAAAGCAGGGCGAGGCATCGCCTCACCCGGGAAGCGCAAGGGGTCAGGGAATTCCCTTTCCTAGTCAAAGAAAGGGGTGACAGATGGCACCTGGAAAATCGGGTCACTCCCACCCTAATACTTTGCTTTTCCAACAGGCTTCACAAACGGTGCACCAGGAGATTATACCCCACACCTGGCTGGGAGGGTCCTAAGCCCACCGAGCCTCGCTGATTGCTAGCACAGCAGTCTGAGATCAAACTGCAAGGTGGCAGTGAGGCTGGGGGAGGGGCGCCTGCCATTGCTGAGGCTTGAGTAGATAAACAAAGCAGCCCAGAAGCTCCAACTGGGTGGAGCCCACCACAGCTCAAGGAGGCCTGCCTGCCTCTGTAGGCTCCACCTCTGGGGGCAGGGCACAGACAAACAAAAGACAGCAATAACCTCTGCAGACTTAAATGTCCCTGTCTGACAGCTTTGAAGAGAGTAGTAGTTTTCCCAGCATGCAGCTTGAGATCTGAGAACAGGCAGACTGCCTCCTCAAGTGGGTCCCTGACCCCCGAGTAGCCTAACTGGGAGGCACTCCCCAGAAGGGGCAGACTGACACCTCACATAGCCGGGTACTCCTGTGAGACAAAACTTCCAGAGGAACAATCAGGCAGCAGCATTTGCGGTTCACCAGTATCCACTGTTCTGCAGCCACCACTGCTGATACCCAGGCAAACAGGGTCTGGAGTGGACCTCCAGTAAACTCCGACAGACCTGCAGCTGAGGGTCCTGACTGTTAGAAGGAAAACTAACAAACAGAAAGGACATCCACACCAAAAACCCATCTGTACATCACCATCATCAAGGAACAAAGGTAGATAAAACCACAAAGATGGGGAAAAAACAGAGCAGAAAAACCAGAAACTCTAAAAACCAGAGCGCCTCTCCTCCTCCAAAGGAACGCAGTTCCTCACCAGCAACGGAACGAAGCTGCATGGAGAATGACTTTGACAAGTTGAGAGAGGAAGGGTTCAGAAGATCAAACTACTCCGAGCTAAAGGAGGAAGTTCGAACCCGTGGCAAAGAAGTTAAAAACTTTGAAAAAATATTAGATGAAAGGATAACTAGAATAACCAGTGCAGAGAAGTCCTTAAAGGACCTGTTGGAGCTGAAAACCAAGGCACGAGAACTACGTGACGAATGCACAAGCCTCAGTAACCGATGCGATCAACTGGAAGAAAGGGTATCAGCGATAGAAGACGAAATGAATGAAATGAAGCATGAAGAGAAGTTTAGAGAAAAAAGAATAAAAAGAAATGAACAAAGCCTCCAAGAAATATGGGACTATGTGAAAAGACCAAATCTACGTCTGATTGGTGTACCTGAAAGTGACGGGGAGAATGGAACCAAGTTGGAAAACACTCTGCAGGATATTATCCAGGAGAACTTCCCCAATCTAGCAAGGAAGGCCAATATTCAGATTCAGGAAATACAGAGAATGCCACAAAGATACTGCTCGAGAAGAGCAACTCCAAGACACATAATTGTCAGATTCACCAAAGTTGAAATGAAGGAAAAAATGTTAAGGGCAGCCAGAGAGAAAGGTCGGGTTACCCACAAAGGGAAGCCTGTCAGACTAACAGCGGATCTCTCGGCAGAAACTCTAGAAGCCAGAAGATAGTGGGGGCCAATATTTAACATTCTTAAAGAAAAGCATTTTCAACCCAGAATTTCATATCCAGCCAAACTGAGCTTCATACGTGAAGGAGAAAAAAACACTTTACAGACAAGCAAATGCTGAGAGATTTTGTCACCACCAGGCCTGCCCTAAAAGAGCTCCTGAAGGAAGCACTAAACATGGAAAGGAACAACCGGTACCAGCCACTGCAAAAACATGCCAAATTGTAAAGACCATGAAGACTAGGAAGAAACTGCATCAACTAATGAGCAAAATAACCAGCTAACATCATAATGACAGGATCAAATTCACACATAACAATACTAACCTTAAATGTCAATGGGCTAAATGCTCCAATTAAAAGGCACAGACTGTCAAATTGGATAAAGAGTCAAGAACCATCAGTGTGCTGTATTCAGAAAACCCATCTCACGTGCAGAGACACACATAGGCTCAAAATAAAGGGATGGAGGAAGATCTACCAAGAAAATGGAAAACAAAAAAAGACAGGGGTTGCAATCCTAGTCTCAGATGAAACAGACTTTAAACCAACAAAGATCAACAGAGACAAAGAAGGAAATTACATAATAGTAAAGGGATCAATTCAACAAGAAGAACTAACTATCCTAAATATATATACACCCAATACAGGAGCACCCAGATTCATAAAGCAAGTCCTTAGTGACCTACAAAGAGACTTAGAATCCCACACAATAATAATGGGACACTTTAACAGCCCACTATCAACATTAGACAGATCAATGAGACAGAAAGTTAACAAGGATATCCAGAAATTGAACTCAGCTCTGCACCAAGCAGACCTAATAGACATCTACAGAACTCTCCACCCCAAATCAACAGAATATACATTCTTTTCAGCACCACACCACACCTATTCCAAAATTGACCACATAGTTGGAAGTAAAGCACTCTTCAGCAAATGTAACAGAACAGAAATTATAACAAACTATCTCTCAGACCACAGTGCAATCAAACTAGAACTCAGGATTAAGAAACTCACTCAAAACCGCTCAACTACATGGAAACTAAACAACCTGCTCCTGAATGACTACTGGGTACATAACGAAATGAAGGCAGAAATAAAGATGTTCCTTGAAACCAATGAGAACAAAGACACAATATACCAGAATCTCTGGGACACATTCAAAGCAGTGTGTAGAGGGAAATTTATAGCACTAAATGCCCACAACAGAAAGCAGGAAAGATCTAAAATTGACACCCTAACATCACAATTAAAAGAACTAGAAAAGCAAGAGCAAACACATTCAAAAGCTAGCAGAAGGCAAGAAATAACTAAGATCAGAGCAGAACTGAAAGAAATAGAGACACAAAAAACCCTTCAAAAAATTAATGAATCCAGAAGCTGGTTTTTTGAAAAGATCAACAAAATTGATAGACCGCTAGGAAGACTAATGAAGAAAAGAGAGAAGAATCAAATAGACACAATAAAAAATGACAAAGGGGATATCACCACTGATCCCACAGAAATACAAACTACCGTCAGAGAATACTATAAACACCTCTATGCAAATAAAATAGAAAATCTAGAAGAAATGGATAAATTCCTCGACACATACACTATCCCAAGACTAAACCAGGAAGAAGTTGAATCTCTGAATAGACCAATAACAGGCTCCGAAATTGGAGCAATAATTAATAGCTTACCAACCAAAAAAAGTCCAGGACCAGATGGATTCACAGCCGAATTCTACCAGAGGTACAAGGAGGAGCTGGTACCATTCCTTCTGAAACTATTCCAATCAATAGAAAAAGAGGGAATCCTCCCTAACTCATTTTATGAGGCCAGCATCATCCTGATACCAAAGCCGAGCAGAGACACTACAAAAAAAGAGAATTTTAGACCAATATCCTTGAAGAACATTGATGCAAAAATCCTCAATAAAATACTGGCAAACCGAATCCAGCAGCACATCAAAAAGCTTATCCACCATGATCAAGTGGGCTTCATCCCTGGGATGCAAGGCTGGTTCAACATACGAAAATCAATAAACGTAATCCAGCATATAAACAGAACCAAAGATAAAAATCACATTATTATCTCAATAGATGCAGAGAAGGCCTTTGACAAAATTCACTAGCGCTTCATGCTAAAAACTCTTAATAAACTAGGTATAGATGAGACGTATCTCAAATAATAAGAGCTATTTATGACAAACCCACAGCCAATATCATTCTGAATGGGCAAAAACTGGAAGTATTCCCTTTGAAAACTGGCACAAGACAGGTATGTTCTCTCACCACTCCCATTCAACATAGTGTTGGAAGTTCTGGCCAGGGCAATCAGGCACGACAAAGGAATAAAGGGTATTCAATTAGGAAAAGAGGAAGTCAAATTGTCCCTGTTTGCAGATGACATGATTATATATTTAGAAAACCCCATCGTCTCAGGCCAAAATCTCCTTAAGCTGATAAGCAACTTCAGCAAAGTCTCAGCATACAAAATCAATGTACAAAAATCACAAGCCTTCCTATACACCAATAACAGACAAACAGAGAGCCAAATCATGAGTGAACTCCCATTCACAATTGTTTCAAAGAGAATAAAATACCTAGGAATCCAACTTACAAGGGATGTGAAGGACCTCTTCAAGGAGAACTACAAACCACTGCTCAAGGAAATAAAAGAGGATACAAACAAATGGAAGAACATTCCATGCTCATGGGTAGGAAGAATCAATATCGTGAAAATGGCCATACTGCCCAAGGTAATTTATAGATTCAATGCCATTCCCATCAAGCTACCAATGACTTTCTTCACAGAATTGGAAAAAACTACTTTAAAGTTCATATGGAACCAAAAAAGAGCCCGCATTGCCAAGTCAATCCTAAGCCAAAAGAACAAAGCTGGAGGCATCACGCTACCTGACTTCAAACTATACTACAAGGCTACAGTAACCAAAACAGCATGGTACTCGTACCAAAACAGAGATATAGACCAATGGAACAGAACAGAGCCTCAGAAATAATGCCGTATATCTACAACTATCTGATCTTTGACAAACCTGACAAAAACAAGCAATGGGGAAAGGATTCCCTATTTAACAAATGATGCTGGGAAAACTGGCTAGCCATATGTAGAAAGCTGAAACTGGATCCCTCCCTTACACCTTATACAAAAATTAATTCAAGATGGATTAAAGACTTAAACGTTAGACCTAAAACCATAAAAACCCTAGAAGAAAACCTAGGCAACACCATTCAGGACAAAGGCATGGGCAAGGACTTCATGTCTAAAATACCAAAAGCAATGGCAACAAAAGCCAAAATTGACAAATGTGATCTAATTAAACTAAAGAGTTTCTGCACAGCAAAAGAAACTACTGTCAGAGTGAACAGGCAACCTACAGAATGGGAGAAAATTTTTGCAACCTACTCATCTGACAAAGGGCTAATATCCAGAATCTACAATGAACTCAAACAAATTTACAAGAAAAAAACAAACAACCCCATCAAAAAGTGGGCGAAGGACATGAACAGACACTTCTCAAAAAAAGACATTTATGCAGCCAAAAGACACATGAAAAAATGCTCATCATCACTGGCCATCAGAGCAATGCAAATCAAAACCACAATGAGATACCATCTCACACCAGTTATAATGGCGATCATTAAAAAGTCAGGAAACAACAGGTGCTGGAGAGGATGTGGAGAAATAGGAACACTTTTACACTGTTGGTGGGACTGTAAACTAGTTCAACCATTGTGGAAGTCGGTGTGGCGATTCCTCAGGGATCTAGAACTAGAAATACCATTTGACCCAGCCATCCCATTACTGGGTATATACCCAAAGGATTATAAATCATGCTGCTATAAAGACACATGCACACGTATGTTCATAGCGGCACTATTCACAATAGCAATGACTTGGAACCAACCTAAATGTCCAACAACGATAGACTGGATTAAGAAAATGTGGCACATATACACCATGGAATACTATGCAGCCATAAAAAATGGTGAGTTCATGTCCTTTGTAGGGACATGGATGAAGCTGGAAACCATCATTCTCAGCAAACTATCGCAAGGACAAAAAACCAAACACCGCATGTTCTCACTCATAGGTGGGAATTGAACAATGAGAACACATGGACACAGGAAGGGGAACATCACACACCAGGGCCTGTTGTGGGGTGGGGGGAGGGGGGAGGGATAGCATTAGGAGATATACCTAATGCTAAATGACGTGTTAATGGGTGCAGCACACCAACATGGCACATGTATACATATGTAAGAAACCTGCATGTTGTGCACATGCACCCTAAAACTTAAAGTATAATAATATTAATAAAAAAAGAAAAAATAAAAGCATAGGAAGTGTGTAAACTACATGTTATATAGATGGACTTTTTTTGTGTGCCCTTATAAATTAAAATATATATAACCTATACATTAACATATATGTATCAATATAATTTTCAACACTTTTAATTCCCAAAGATGCAGCATGTTTTGTGCAACATAGATTTATCTTGTATGACATGTTTTCTATGTGATGAAAAACAGGGAGATTATGTCAGTATAATGCACTGTCATAGTGGCGCAGACACAGCCTTTCCCAAGGTATTAATGTCTAGAGGAAATCAGAGCCACATTTTCTTATAAGTAAGGAAAAAGTCTTAGCAATATATTGGAACCTTAATAAAAAAGCTAAAAATCAACGGAAGCACTTTTTTAGGGTGAGTTGTGGCTGATCTAGCAACTTCCAATTGATTATGCTTCCTCCATGTTACTGAGGGACAGGTGACAACTGAGAGCTCTAATCATACAGGCTACAAAGACATGGACTCAGATAGTGGATTAATGAAGAAGGCTACAGCTAGATCAGGTTTATAATTTTGATTAAAATGGCATGCTAAAAATGAGAAAAAACGGCTATAAGAGAATGCCCTCCAAGAGGAAGAACAAGTGCTAAAGTCCAATGCTGAAAATGACTGAATGATTCCAAATCAAAACGTTGATTAAAACTTTACTATATTAATAACAATTGTATTATTTGGGTTGTGGTTTTCTTTTAAAAATACAATAATTATTAGTTTCTTCCCAAGTTTTATATCTCCTAGAAGCCCTGTAATTTTTAGTAGGGAACTTTGCACATTACTTGTTGCTCAAAAATATATGTATGTTGGACTAGAAAAGCCTGGAGCTCTGGCCTAGCCTCCCATCATCATAGACACACTTTGACTTACATGCTACACAGCCTTACATGATTCATAATGTACTGTTTTTATATATAAGTCAAAAGGAAAGAATATATTATTTAAAAAATCCTGGAATAACATAATGTCATTGATGTATTCCTCTGATGTGGAGATGTGTGGGATTACCAAGAAAGAATACACTGTATCTTGGTATTTTTAACTTCACCTTTCAAAGTCATGTTAAACTAATAATATAGTTAATCTTATATCCTAATATGTTTTTTCTTAAAAACAAATAACTAATTAAAACAGAAAAAGAGACTGATTTCAATATGAATTACCCTTACATTAATGACTACATTTATATGACCATCTAAAACTAAGAACTTTGTAAATTACGAAGTTCAATATTTCTTATAAAAAGTATTCAGTAGTGTATCTGTAAATATGTCATATACATGTAAGTTTTAAATAGGAACTATTAATAAGCCCATATCATTCATATGAAACCATATTATATCATTCATATAATTCTGTGAATCCATGCATATCTAAAACCTATGTTAACAGAAGACCTAAAATGGCATGTGTGTTTCTGTGTGTGCATATACGTGTGTATATATATATATACACACACACACATATATACACATATATATATATTCCAGTTAAAATAAACACCAAACAAATATTATAGCTTAGGCATTATCTATAAATTTATCTAAATTTGGGTTTTTCCCCCATGTCACCTTCTTAATACAGCAAGTTTGAGTTTGTACAACTTTAAATAGTGGTAAGAAGTTAATGCTGACATTTAAGATGCATTATCTACAAATTGTGAAAGAACAAGTTTAAATATGTTCAAGAAAAAAACAGAAACAAATGATCACCTTCTCCCCTTCTATTAACAAGATTAAATGCCACTGCCTTTTTTCTTCTTAGTCATTTTCTATGTATTACAGTGTGGGTACATTCTCCATCCATGTAAATGACAAAGATACAAAAATGATAAACCTAAAATTTAAGCTTTGAACCTCATTATATGGCAAAGCAATAATAATCCCTCTTTGAGACAAACATTAATATCAACAAGCTATCTCTTTCACCCACATCAGACGGTATATGTACTATTTTTGCAAGAAACTGAGGGTAAAAGTAGATGTGTATTTGGCATGAACAAATAGAAGATCAAATGATGTTGGAAGTTATTGGAATATATATGTCTTCATCCTTGGGAAACAAAATGAACTCACCTCTCACAATCTGATCTGCGAAAACCCTAGGAATCTATGAAACAAATACAGAGTAGAAAAGACTTCCCACAAAGTGAACATTTTGATGAGAATTCAGAATTTTATTAAATAATCTGAGCTGAGAATTTGATCTCTCTTGTGGAATATTCATGAACTCAGTCATGATTTGTATAATCAATACTTTACACCAAAGCATTAACATAGTACATGTGGAAAATGTTATATTCCAGAAACTATTATAAACTGTTCAGTGGAAAGAAGAAAAGTTCATAAGAATTTGGCAGTAGAGAAGCCTCTTCTGATTCAAGTCATCATTCTTTGATAATATGCCAATAATTATCATAATACGGTGGACTATGTAGGCAGGCAGCATTGGGTAATACAGCAGAGGTTTTAATACAGAAAATAGATATATAAAACTTGAGTCCAAACCTTAACTTTTCCTTCTGTGAACTTGGGGGAACACATACATGACCTATTTTAGTTATAGTTTCCTTGTGTTAACATGAGGACAGTAGTATTCACCTTGGATGATTTCTATAAGGACTAAAGATGATGTCTAAATATTCTCAGCAAGACACTCTTTGCACAATAACAATAAATGGTAGCTAATATCAATTCTTATTATCTTAAGCTAAGTAAAAAAATTGTAAAAAGAAACAGTGAAGAGACAGCATGAAAATCAATCAATATTCAGCCCTATCCAGAAAGACTATAAGAGAAATTAGAAACTCGCGTCTCATTCTGAGTACAAAACTAAATTGCAGAGAAATGGACCCATACAGAAATCAATTATAAACTCACAAATCATTTATTTCTCCATTTCTCCATCTCGACTTAATTCATTCTTGAGGACAAACTCAGGGTTAATTGATTTGTTTACTTATTCATTGATGTATTCATATATTCATTCATTTATTCTATCAAATAATGCTCCAGTTAGTGCGGTATGGCAAAACTATTCAAAAGGAATTGGCAGTTTAACAGGAGAGAAAGCAAAGTAAATGTTGTAATCTGGTATGGTTACATGTTTGTAATAGCGGTGTGCATAAAGTTATCTGGAAGTGTGTCTGGAAGTCTTAAGAGAACTTCTCCAGGTGGGCAGGCAAACTCAGGGCACTGGGAGGCTATGTGAAAACACAAGTGATGATTGAAGTGGTGGTGTTCCCCAGAACAAAGCAGTCTGTCTAAAGGATGGGATTTCTCTTTGGGGGTGGCTGATGTGAGATAAAAACGAAGAGAAAAATAGAAAATATATCATGAAGACTGTTACGTAGTGTGAGGGAAAACGCAGAGCTTTAATCAATGATGAATGAATAATGAGAAGATTTTAGATAGGAGGGCTACATTCTCAGATATGGATTTTGCCAAGTTCAACCTAGCAGCAGAGTGGAAAAGCAACTAAAAGAGAGAGAGAGCAAAAAGCAATAAACTAAAGAAAGGAAGTGTAAGTAGAGAATAGTATAGCAGGTTAGAGTTCAGTCATCCAGATAGGATGTCTGACTTGTCTGAAGCTTGATGCTAATTAAAATATTAAACAATATTTCAAGTTGTTTGAGGAAATGAAATGTGTGTATAACAAACCAGCAATGATGTTATCTTGACTGTTGGATATGAATAACTGAATATATTCCCTCATTGTGAATGATCAGTTACTTATATCATGCTGTTTGAAAGAATACTTATATAGAAAACAGATCACTTCTACCAAGATGACCCAATTATAGGATTCTGATACACAGAACATTCAGTGATGAGACTCTAGATAAAAATGAATAATGCTCTCCGGTTAGAATGACCTGATCCATAGGCTGACAGAGGAGGAGAATGGAAGAAAGCTCCAGGAAGATAAGACTTGATGGATGACCATGAATTTCTTGGGATTTCAAGGAAGGTGAATTCAGAGAAAGGAAAGAAAGTCATGGAGGCAAGATAGCATATGTTGCATTCTGGAAGTTAATATAATCTGTTGAACATTTACTGCCTCCCTTATTAGACCTTTAACGAGTGTGGCAAGATAACTTGAGCATGAAAAAGTAGAAAATGGGAAGAGATGACGGGCCCTTGGTACTGAAATAAACTCCTGAGCTGATGCTGCTCCTCTTCAGAGGGACAGAAAATAAAAACAAAAACAAAAATCCCTTCTTTTTAAATAACAGTACAACCTTCTGGATTGCTTTTATCAGCATCTAAGTATATTAGATTCATATTTGTTTGTTTACCAAATGAACGTCTGCAAGTGCAGGGCATTTTCCACAACACCTTCAGTCTTGGCACTATTTGGTAATTACAGGATAGTCAGTAAGTTCTGTGTATTAGGCATTGCGGAGATAGACTGAACAAACCCAAATAACTATTATAGACTTCAAGATGCTTGCAATCTTGTTATCTCCCCATAGCCATTAACACGGCTTCTCATATGTAAAAGCAATGTGGTAGACGTGTATGGTATTAAATTACATAAACATGAGTAGGAAGTAAGAATAATATTAAAAAAGAACAATACGAGGTTATAAGAGCTGGAATGAATACAGATGTGTATAGAATAAGTTTAAAAATGAATAAGGACTCCGGGTCCTTAAGGGCTCCCTATAATGTTAAACAGAAAGGCAGGAGTAAAACAAATAGGCACTTGAAGGGAGAATTGGAGGAGTTGTTCAGAAAAAGGGGATCATGACTCCGTAGAGACCACAGCAAACTCAGGTCACTGAGATCCATCTATGGTGCCAATGCTTCTTAGATTTTTCCATTATGGTAAAAATATTCTACAGTAAAAATATTAATGTGGTATGTACTCCATCCCGCATACTCTTTTTAATGTGACATTGACATTGATCTTTGATTCACTTACATTTTAAATGTTACGAGATTAAGTTTGAGTTTCAAAACATATGACCAAGCAAGGGAGGTCAGAGGACCATTTCTTTTGAAGATCCATAATGAAGATTGAGCAGAACTGGGTTTCCAAATTGCCAGAGGCCACTTTCTTCCAGGGCAGTCTTTCTTTCAGCCACTCAGGTGCTTGCTGCAGCCTGACGCTAACTCATGCATTCATTATATAATTCCTTGGATGTAAACCCATCACTACAGATCAAGAAATGGCTCATATTCTGTTGGCTACCAGATATATGGCACAAAATTGCAATAAAGTACTGACACCAAAATCACTGAATGACCTCTTAGACTCATTTAAATAATAGTCGCTCTATTGTTTATCACTGTCTAATTGCTCATTTGCGAAAAAAATAATAATTATTATTACTTTTAGAATGGGAAGTCAATTTGTCACTGAAAACAGTTTTTAAGCTTGAGAAAAAATATGGCTTTAAATCATGGGCAGTTTTTAAAATTCTTAAAAAACACTTTCTACTTTTGCTATTCTGACCCTTATATGTTTTCAAGCATAGTGTTTTAGAAATAATCATGCAATTTAAAAGAATAGATCATATTGTAAGTATAAATTTAAAAAAAAAGAAATTCTCCTTTTGGATTTTGTAAGTCACATTCTGTGACGCTTTCGATAATTTCCCTCTAAAACCCAAAAGTGTGGATAATGTCAATTAATATTTAGTATAAACAATATATAACTATATATAACAAAGTATAACTAGAAATGATTTTATACTCATTTTCATTCATTCTTCCTGTATCAACCAAAAAAGTAGCAAAGTAAATTCCATGGGTCTGACGGCACTATTTTATCTATTTTAGTAGTGTCTGTCTATTGAATAACTTTATGGGCATTAAATTACACATTAAATATTTATATTAATCACATTAAATACTTTAAAATACTATTATCCATATTAGGTTGGCAGAAAAGCAATTGCAGTTTTTGCATTTATAAGTAATGCAATTACTTATAATTTTGCCATTTATAATGACTGCAATTACTTTTGCACCATACTAATAATAATTATAATTCTGCTTATGATTTATTAAAGACTATCTGCAAGTGCTTATGCTCTACCAAAAACTATGGTAATATATTTAAATAGAAATATTATCCCATGTTATTTTCCCCAATTTATTTATAAGGCAACAGAAGATTCAAAAAATTCAGCAGTGTATTGTTAAATCTCAGCACTCCAACTTGAACCCAGTCCTACCTGACTCCAAAACCAGCATTTTGCTCCAAAATCCCACTTCTCAAAAAAAACCCCAAGTGCCCCTTGCCAATAAGAGAAGTCTTCAAATTGGTTTCTTGTGTAGGTCCTTATATTCCTCTTATAAACTAAAAATCAACCAGAACAAAACACAAGTCTGATGCCAAGATGAGCCAGTTAGCTTATCTGTTTCAGAAAACAAAGAGATTCTGTTAACTCTTATTCGGTTTTCCCCCTATGTGTGACACTGCCCTACAGCAGGTGGATACGCAAGTGGGCATAATTATCTACACATTCGTCTGCATAAATATCATGCTTCAAGGGCAGTCAGTTCTTTTATCTTCCATTTTGAAGGTCATCACATACTGAGGGATGCCTAGGATGTGCCTGAGGGATGTCCCTTCCTTGAGAAAGTTTATTTTTCAGTGAATCAAAAGAACATTTCCTTTTACCAAAGGGAGACGTGACTGAGATAGAAGATGGGTTTGATTTTTGCTTTCTTTTTGTCTCGTTTTAGTGCCTTAAACATTTTTCCTCAGTAAATCATACATACAGTTAAAATAGACCAGAAGAAACTAGGTAAAAAAGACAAGAAAAAAAAACAATGAATTAAGAAACAGCAAATAAGAACTTCCTCAAGGAGACATTAAGAACTTTCAGAGCTTTCTGGCTTTTAGGGACAAGGGAGAAAAGTTTGGATATGAGAAACTATATAAAGCTCAATAATTAGAATTAGAAATGAACACTAGAGTGAGAGAGAAAATTAAATATTATATTATTTCTGTATTATGTGGTTTGTTAAAATAAAGGGACAAATTGCTTGTATATATTAAAATATCTAAATAAAATAAATGCAGTCTATACAAAAAAGAATTATAATCGCAATAATTATAAGAATCATATGTGTTAGGCACTGTTTAAGGGACTTTATATGTTGTATTTCACTCAGTCTACAAAGCAGTCTTAAAACACAGGTTGTATTGTAATGATTGTTTTATATTTAGAGAAACTTAGCCTTGTAGGAGGTTAAGGAACTTGCCCAAGGACACACAGCTAATAAATAGCAAAACTAGAATATGAACCCAGGAAATCCGATTCCACAGACTGAATACTTATCCACTATACTCAGTGATCATAATAAGCAATGTTATTTTCATATTTACTATTTCTAAATATTATATCTGAAGAAATTATTGTATCTAAAGATATAATTTTAGACTGTTTTAAGCACTATTATATCAATATGCTACCTGATCATATTAATAAGGGAAATAACTTATAACTCTCAGGAATACAATGCTAAATCAATATCAAGTTAGTTACGCATTAGATGTTAGGGGCCTCGGTGCCTAATACTATATAGTCATGATATAGCCTTACAAAATGTATAAAGATATTTAACTTCAAAGTCAATTTCAAGATGAAAAAAACTTGAGTCAAGTTTTCTGAGCATAGGAGCAGCTTACTGCAGGCCATGCATGCAGGAGGAAAAATCAATAGGAGTGATACAAACATAACCCATTGTTTTAGCAGTGGAATTACATGTTCCACAATGTTGCATAAACAACTGATAAAGAGCGCAGGGCTTGAGTAATTGCTAAGCAGACACCCACAAATCAAACTATTTAGTGTCACTATTCCTGGCAGTAGCACCAAACTCCATGTGGGATGCAAGAAGTTCAAAAAAATTTACACATCTTTATACATGATTTAGTGATGGACTTCTAGAGGAATTTAGACAACAGACAGCTGTCCTGATTAACTACACACATAGGACTTCTCTTCTTTATTGAATCAAATGTTGTCATGTGAGACACAAAAATATAAAATCTTTAGATTCCTTTATTTTAAAAACAAATAAAATACTTACATTATTAACAGAAGAGCATACTGGTTTCGGTCCATAAAATCTTTGGGAAGGGACAACTGTAAAGGAAGTTCTTTTAAAGAAAGAGCAAAATATTAAAGATGGAGAGTCATTTGCAGGTAAAACTATAAGACGCAGAGAAAGTTGTTCTTGAATAACATAGCATGCACAAAATTTTACCATAGTCGTCAATATGAAGGATTTTAATTTCTGGCTTTCCTATCTTCTTCTTCAGGATAGCTTCCTTCAGCATAGAATTGCTTTCCAATATAAAATATTCTGTAAACCAAAAAGGGTAGTGTAAATAGCTAACCCCTATGCATTAAACAGAATCAGTGTGACACAACAAAAAATTATCCACTTGTTACCATTTGGCAGGCACTGTGCTGATTAACTCATCATTTCTCTTTTGAATTACTACAACAGTTTTCTAAGTAAGCTTCATTAGGCCAGTAAAACTTTTTCATTTGCTTCTATATTAAATTTATCATTTACGTTTTCAAAATGCAAATCTGATCATATTGTTAACCTGCTTAAGAATATTTTAGCAAAATACAAGATTATCTAGCACCAAATGAGATGCGATTCACAATACCTAGGTACCTATACCAATTAAAAGGGATACAGAAACACAGGATGAGGACACCTGGATTGTAGTTCAGGTATTTAATAAGGTAGAAAAAGCATGAGCATGTTATATATTTCTAAAAATAAAAACTGCAGAATCTGAAATACATGAAAATTATATGATCTAAGATGAAAAATATACTGGGTGATATTAATAAAATATTAGGCACTGAAGAACAAAAGAGTAATGACCTTGAAAATACAGTAATAGAGAAATAGCAAAAATGAAACATCAAAAAATTTGATAAAACATGAAGTGGACATCAGTAACTTGCTGGAATTTTGAGGTACGTGCACTGTATTAAATTTATAGATCTATTTGGAGAGACTTTACATCACAAAAATAGCCTTCTAGGCCGGGCGCGGTGGCTCACGCCTGTAATCCCAGCACTTTGGGAGGCCGAGGCGGGTGGATCATGAGGTCAGGAGATCGAGACCATCCTGGCTAACAAGGTGAAACCCCGTCTCTACTAAAAATACAAAAAATTAGCCGGGCGCGGTGGCGGGCGCCTGTAGTCCCAGCTACTCGGGAGGCTGAGGCAGGAGAATGGCGTGAACCCGGGAAGCGGAGCTTGCAGTGAGCCGAGATTGCGCCACTGCAGTCCGCAGTCCGGCCTGGGCGACAGAGCGAGACTCCGTCTCAAAAAAAAAAAAAAAAAAATAGCCTTCTAATCCATATATATACATTCACATATATGTTTGCATATATACATATTGTACACACATATATCCATGTGTACATATTGTATACAGATATATACAAGTCTATGTCTGTAGAAATCTGAGTCTTTAATTTCTCCCAGCAGTATTATACAGATTTTAGAGGAGGTATTCATTTTTATCGGATTTATTCCTAGATACTCCATGGATTTTTGATGTTACTTTAAACAGCATTTTAAAAATACTCCTAAATCTTGCATTTTCATTGATGAAATGGTTGAATTTTGTGTATTGGCCTACAGATGTAACCATGATAAATTCACTTATTTTCAATAGTTTATTGTGTGTATATTCCACAATTTTTTGTTTCCTTCCTTTTTGTTTTGTACACAGTATGTCTTCTGCAGATAAACACAGTTTTACTGCATATATTTCTTTGTCTTACCCACTTTACTGGCTAAGTCCTCTACCACAATGTTGCACAGAAGGAGTGAGAACAAATATTCTTGACTTTCCCAGTCCTCAGGCAGGAGCATCATTCTTTCACCATTAAGCATGATGTCAGCTGTAGTATTTTTACAGATATCATTCATGAAGTTCAGGAATTTCTTTTCTATCTTATCTTGATTAGGTATTCCTATTAATTTATTATTATTATTGTTTGCCAAAATTTTCAAGTTTTTAAAAACTCCTTTGAGGTGTCAGTGTAATACGGTGAATTACATTGTTTGTTGAAGGTTATAGCAAACACAGAATCTTTGGGTAAACCCAATATGGCCATAACAAACTATCATACTTTCTATAATTGCTAGGTTTGACTTGCTATTATTTAGTTAAGGTGTTTTGCACCTAAATTCATGAGAAAATTTGATCTTTTTTTTGTCCTCTTAATATATATGTCTGGATTTGGAATCTGGTCAATACTCGCCTTATTTTTTATTTTTTATTTTTTTTTGAGACGGAGTCTCATTCTTTTGCCCAGGCTCGAGTGCAGTGGTGTGATCTCGGCTCACTGCAAGCTCCGCCTCCCAGGTTCATGCCATTCTCCTGCCTCAGCCTCCTGAATAGCTGGGACTACAGGCGCCCGCCACCACACCCGGCTAATTTTTTGTATTTTTAGTAGAGACAGGGTTTCACCGTGTTAGCCAGGATGGTCTCGATCTCCTGACCTCACGATCTCCACCCGCCTCGGCCTCCCAAAGTGCTGGGATTACAGGCGTGAGCCACCGCGCCTGGCCTGCCTTATATTTTTAAAAAGAGTTTGTGTAAACTTGGTATTAACTTATTAAAAGTTGCATAAAATGCACCAGTGAAACTAGCTGCATCTGGAGTTTCCTTTGTGAGGAGAATGTTAATTGCATATTTATATACTGTATTTCTTCTCGTGTGAATGTTTAGTGATTTGTGTATTTTAAGGAATTTTTCCATTTCATCTAAGATGCCTAATATACTGGCAAAAAATTACGTATAATGTTCCACTATTGTCATTCTAATATCTATAGCATTTGTATAAACATCATCTCTTTTATTAATGGCATTACATTTTTCTCTTTTTCTTCATGTCTCTCACTAGAATTTTGCCAACTTTATTGATCTTGTCAGGGAAGCAACTTTTGGTTTCATACATTTTCTCTACTGCTAGTCTATGTTCAATATCATTTCCTTCTTAGTCATTTTTCAATCTCCTTCTTTCAACTTTGTTTTAATTTGCTCTTCTTTTTCTAATTCCTTAAGGTGAAAGAGGAGATTATCGATTTTAAACCTTTTCTTTTTATACAATAAGTTAGAATCATAAATTTCTTTCTAATCACAACTGTAGTAACCCCTAAATTGGGATCTGTTGTGTTTTTATTTTTATATAATAAGTTAGAGTCATAAATTTCTTTCTAATCACAGCTGTAGTTACACGTAAATTGGAATCTGATGTGTTTTCATCTTCCTTCAGCTCAAAATATTTTCTAATTATTTAGTTTTTATT
The DNA here is from genome assembly GCF_000001405.40 of Homo sapiens. Classification (NCBI taxonomy): domain Eukaryota; kingdom Metazoa; phylum Chordata; class Mammalia; order Primates; family Hominidae; genus Homo; species Homo sapiens. The sequence goes on along the minus strand of NC_000002.12, from coordinate 115,788,094 downwards.
GATCAATTTGTTATTTAGAAGAGCAAGTTTGATGACAGAACGTTCTCACTTCTTTTATTATTGAAACTTTCTTTTTGTCTTCATTTTTAAGTGAGAAATATCTTCTAGGTTTGTTTTTCTATTAAGAATTTTTGTTTAGTTCAGTTTGGTTTTCCGTCAGCATTTGCAGCATTTTGTTCTATTGTCTTCCAGTTTGCTTTTTTCTGATGAGATGTCTGTAGTCATTCGTTTTTACTATGTGCATAATATGTGGATGTAATGTGTCTTTTAATTTCTGATTATTTAAAATGTTTTTCTTTATCATTGGTTTTGCATAATTTGCTAATGATGTGCGCTAGTGTGGTTTTATTGACATTTATCCTGCTTCCGTTATGTTGAACTTTTTTTAACTTTTTCATCAGATTTAGAAAATTTTTGGCCGTTATTGCATCAAATATTTTTTGCAAGTTTCCTTGCCCCATTCTGACTCTAATTACAAATATGATAGATGTAGATACTGGCCTATGGTTAATTTAGGTTCTACTTTCTTCATTCCTTTTCTATTTGTGTCAAGAAATTTTCCACTGATATTGTTTCAAGTCCACTGATCTTTTCTTCTGCAGCATCTAATCTGTTCTTAGTATTTTCCAGTGAAGTTTATATTTCAAATATTTTATTTTAAATTCACAAAGTTCTTTCATAAAAATATATTATCTTTGTTTTCTCTCTACATTCATTCTTTCCTTGATGGCTTTATGTATTTGTAACAGCTAATTTACTGTATTTGCCAGTGATTTCCATCATCTCTGTCATTTCTGAGTTTGTTTCTATTCACTAATCTTTCTCCTATTTATGAGTAATATTTTCTACTTTCTTCACAAAGCTAGTAATTTTTTATTAGATACCAACCATTGTGACATTTACATTTTGAAAGCCTGGGTTTTGTTGTGATCTTCTAACAATTGTTGGACTTTGTTCTGGCATATGTTGCAGGCAGGTTGACCATTTCAAGACTTTTCAAGAAATCTTTTTAGTGTGTATTTGAATGACCTTTGCTCTATGGCTAGTTTAGCACTACAAAAGGCAGGACACTTCTGGGATCTCTTCTAAATGTTCCACTACTGTGCTGATTATAACTTGAGCAAATCCCACCACTCTGTGAGCTCCGGCATTGCCCACACTCATGAAGCATCTTCCTATGCATACTCAGCTAGGTATTTTCAGCAGCTGATTCAGGGTGATCCCTCTTCCAGCCCTATGCAGATGTCTTTCTCCATGTGGCTTCTTCATTTCCAGTTTCATCTTTCCATAAGCCTCAATTCCATAAAATTCCATACCATTCCTCAACATTCCATAAGCCTCAATCTTTCTGAATATCATTTTCTGTCTCCTCAACTCAGAGATATCATTGTATTATGATTAGCTTATTCCTTATTGCATTGGAGTTCAGAAATTTCTATTAACAAGAAAGCCAGAGAACTTACAACACTAATTGTACTTGTTTCCTTCTTTCAGGGATCAGAGACCCATGCTGGCTATTGTTGAATGTCTGGAAACAGTTGATTTGTATATTTTGTCCAGTTTTCTTTACTCTTTTTTTTTATTATTATTAAAGGAAACAAGGGAATCAGGTCTATTTCCAGTTACTCCATGGCCAGAAAAAAAATAAAATAAAATGTCAAAGGTTTATCATTGAACAAATATGATTGAATCCAAACTACTTAGAAAACATAAGAGTTATAATCCAATTCCAGTCTGCCCCTCTGGCCTCATATAGTTTTGCTCTTTTAGTAAATGTTTTGTTCCAGCTATGATGAACAATGTTTATCTTGCAAATGTGAACACTTTTATGCGTTCTTATGTTTGTATACACACATTCGTTTTTCTGAAAATGTCTTCTCATTGACTTCCTCTTGTCCTGAACTGTGTGCACTTTTACTAGAGAAATAATCATAGACTGTTATAAGCATGTAATTTTATGTTTCTCCCATTGGACTACGCTGTCTATGTGTAACCTCAGGCACATCAAACTACCTCTTTTGTAAGTAAATATCTTCCCCTATTATATATATCTGGAAGACTAGATGTTCTAAGAGGTTTTTTACATGTTTAAAATGGAAAGAAACTCTGATTATTTAAACATTAGTGTATTTCCAAAGAAGCTATCCTAAGCATTTAATTTTAAATGCTTAAAAAATGGTGAATATTCACTCAGAGAAACTAGAAAAACAAGAGCAAATCAATCCCAAAGCTACAGGAGGAAGAAAAAAAAAAAACCCACATCAGAGCTGAACTGAATGAAATGAATACGTGAAAAAGCATAAAAACCAAAAGTTGGTTCTTCGAAAGTATAAATACAATTAATAGACTGCTACATAGCCTAAGAAAAAAGAGAGAAAAGTCAAATAAACACAATCAGAAATGACAAAGGGGACATTACCACTGACCCCATGGAAATACAAAAAGCCTTCAGAGACTATTATGAGTGCCGCTATGCCCACAAACTAAAAAACGTACAAGAAGTTGATAAATTCCTGGACATACACACCCTTTCAAGAGTGGACCAGGGAGAAATTGAAACCCTGAACAGACCGATAATGATTTATGAAATTAAATGAGTAATAAAAAGCCTACCAACTAGAAAAAGGCTGGAACCAGATGGATCCATATTCAAATTCTATGAAATGTATAAAGAAGAGCTGCTACTAATCCTACTGAAGCTAATCCAAAAAATCAAGGGGAAGGGATTCCTACCCAACTCATTCTATGAGGTCAGCATGATTCTGATACCAAAACCTGGCAGAAACACAGTGAAAAGAGAAAACTTCAAGAAAACAGTGGCTGGGCCTGAAGGTCAAGGGTGAAGATTCCCTTCAGCCAAAGGTCACAGCCAACCTGTGGTGACTCCATAGGAACACGGCTGGTGGAATAAACAACCCAGAGCAGTTTTCTCCCTCTTTCCAGTTGCCTACAAGATTTCCTTTGGTTGAATCCAGTTGGAAGCCATGGGGCAACAGAACCTAAGTCATCTATAGAAAGTACTTCTAGGCCAGAGAACATCGAAGAGAAGAATTGAGAGTTAAAAGTGGTTCTGGAAAAACAGATGGAAGATGCCCAGGGCACTGAGTAATATTCCATTAAAATGTACTTACAAACTCCCATTATTTGTTATTTATAATGTCTTTTTCTATTTTCAATAGCTTTGTCATAATATTCTCCATTTAGAATTATTTTCTCAGTGTAAACTACAAAAATGAAAAAATGATATAAAAGAATTAAGTTTCTGCTAGGCATGGTGGCTCATGGCTGTAATCTCAGCACTTTGGGAGGCTGTGGCTGGCAGATCACCTGAGGTTGTGAGTTCGAGACCAGCCTGACCAACTGGAGAAACCCCGTCTCTACTAAAAATACAAAATTAGCTGGGCGTGGTGATGCATGCCTGTAATCCCAGCTACTCGGGGGGCTGAGGCAGGAGAATTGCTTGAACCTGGGAGGTGGAGGTTGCGGTGAGCTGAGATCACACCATTGCATTCCAGCCTGGGCAACAAGAGTGAAATTCTGTCTCAAAAAAACAAAAGAAATAAGTTTTGACTATTATTTTTAATATGTTATAATTAACATTTCTACCACATTCTATCTTTATTAGTAATGTAAATTTTTAATGTTATTAATTTGTTAGGAAAAATTACATGGCAGTAGTTTCTTCTGCGTTTCTTTGATAACTAGTGGGTTTAAAGGTTTTCCATGCTTGTTAAATATTTTCCTTTTTCTTTTTTAAAATTTTCTCTCCATGCACTATTCTACTTCATGTGGCCCAAAAATGAGTTATGACTTACTCATTGGTATATTTGCTTTCATTGACCCAAAGATTTACTTGCCATTGACTATAAATTTTATCTCCCTAAGTAATTATCTTTTGAAAAGAAAATTAAGCACTTGACCACTATTCACAGCCTTTTTTTGTTTTTGTTGACCTTGAGACAAACATGATTGGCTTTTGAACAGGAAAATAACATGATTTCCCTTAGACAGAAATGTTTTGTAATTTGCAGCAGAAGTTATTAGAAAAGACATTGCCTTGTAACAACAGGATAAAATTAAATTAAAATCAGATTGGAAAATTTTTAATCATCCTTTGTTAAAGGCAAGATATACAGTGTAACACAAATAGTTATTGATTAAGTGTGTCCTATATGTCATGAATGTTACTCATCTTCACTGCAAACACATTTGTTTATTTGTCTCGGAGGACACTGATGTTTTGAGATGTTAACGCACTGTCTTGGATCCCACAAAAAGCATGTGATAGACTTATTTTATACACTGATAGTTCTATCTATGAGATTCAACCTTCTTTCCATTTTATCAACCGTACTGTCTATGGTCATTATTGTTGCCGTTAGAGTTAATATTGAATATATTTGATTTGCTTAACATAATCTTTTTAAGGTTTACACTGAAGACGGAAATAATGAAATAAATAGAAACTAAAATGTGTGCTAAACCATCTTTCAGCCACACAAAAACCCAACACAAATTTAGAAATTTCTTGTTGCCTCGGGCATGCACTAAGTGTCTATATGACATTATTTGAACAATATAAATGGTCTTGGTCTGTTTTCTCAAAATGATATTTGTCATTCAACCTTACACTTTTTTACCTATATATCTTCTAAGTCAAGCCACCTAACTGACTCCTACTTAAATAAGAGTATGCAATGCATGAGGCAAAAGCACAATAGAAAAAGTAGTTATTATATTGTAGTGAATTATAAACCTATTCTCGAGTCAGACTGTCTCATTTGATCCCTGGTTCTGCCATTTATTAGTATGACTCTGGCCAAGTTATTACCACTTAACCTCTTTGAGACTAATTTTTCTCACCTGTAAAAAGGGATAATCAAATTAACTATCTCAGAGGTATTCCAAAGTTCAAGTGAGTCAATAAATATGAGCCATTATTAGATTATAGTAGCTTATGTGAAATCATCACAGAATAGAAGCATTGATTAAATAAAACTTAAAAAATGAAAGAAGGATACAAACATGGAAGAAAGGAAAGAGAAAGGAAGGCAGGATGAAATCTGGTTATTCATTTTTAAGATAAGCTCAACCATGCATTTATTTATCTACTTTACTGTAAGTTCTTGAACAAAACACTCTTTCAGTGTACCCTCCGACTCTGTCACATTGTTTGACAAAAGTAGGTGATCTCTTAACAAACCTAACAAATATACAAATGAATAAATTCATAAATGAAAAAGTGCATATACAAAACTAGAAGAACCTGGATATCTGGAACAAACAGGATAGAAAATATATAAAATAACACATTTTTCATAATTTTCTGAAATGTCTTCAAAAGGTTATTCTGGAGGAATAACTTATGTGAGGCCCAGGCAAGAATGAACCAGAACATTAAGAGGCCAGTAAGCTAAAATGTACCTGTTTCATCAATAACTCTATTTGACTTAGGTAGTAGATATCCTATTTCGGGCATATAAGATTCACCTCCCACCTGTAACATGGCTCATATCTCTTGCTTTACTGTTTCTCTTACATACATAAGGTCAAGTTGATGGTATACACGCAGCTTTCCTCATGGTGGGGATTTTTTGAAGAAGAATTTATAGAGGATATGACTCAGAATAGATAACACGATGTCTAAGACTAATGCCAACCATAACTATTCTTAATTGTCTTCTTGTGTACTCACTTGCTGGGTTGTCCGTACTATGTAGGCTGACCACTGGGACCCTTGGACCTGGAATTTAAAAATATGTGTATAAATATTTTTAAAGATGTCTAAGTAATAATCATTAGAAAGTTTACATAATAGTTTTTTCCCCCCAAATGGAAGCACTTCGTGGTTAAAACATAACAAAACAGAAACCAGATAACTAGCTTTCATTCCTATTTATAAGCGTTTTATTCAGAAGGGTAAGAATATATGAGAAGGAAACTATTTGCAGAGATTATTGTTAAGATTCTCTCTTCCCCCAAATGTTCTATATTTCTATGTTTTTAGCCAATTCTACATGCTTTCTCTTTATCTCTAGTCTTTTATAGACTAGCCACTGATGTTCACAAAGCTGATTCACAACCCTTTCACCCCTCATCCACTGATCCAAGATCAAATTCTATTTGCCACTCAGCCAAAAAAAGAAAGCACGCATATTGGAAATAGTTCATCCATAAGAAAAGTTTAAAATTGGGTGGTAACTATATATTAATTTAAAAATACGTTAACCATAATCTTCAAATATTTAAAATACACTAGCTAATTTGTTACTGTAAAAAGTTATCTTGAAACTTCACTTCTCTAAGGAATCCCATCTAAAACTAATTTTTTTTTCCTGGTGTCATTAAACAAGGACTTCTTTTTTGATTACTTCATTTCATATATCAAGAGAAAAACAATGTCAAAAAGTAAGTCTTGGTATATCTCTCATTGTCTCTTAAAAAAGGACAGCTTAATATATCAGCTGCAGTAGTAGCACTCAACTCTTCATATTATAAGAGGACACATGAGTTCTATTTAATCTCTGGAAAATACAGTACCATATTAAAAGGAAAATGATTTCTATGAATATATTGTAGAGATACTGTATAAACATGTAAGACTACGCATATTGTTACAAGATAGAAGAAGTAATAATGGTGAATGTAATTGATCAGAACTGAAGAACTCTGAAGCAGGGGAATTCAATTTCCACAGGTCCTAAATTTCCATAGATCCTAAATCTCTTAACAACCAAAGCATTGTTTTAAAAAGAAGACTAGACTATTACTTTTTCTGAAGACTAGGTAAATTAGTTTATGATTGTGGCATGGCCTCGCTGATGTAAATATATTTATTCACCTTTTAAAGTTGCTCATGTTCAAATAGCACTTATTAATTATGTGTGCATGTTTATTGACTTATTCTCATTTTTTATTTCTATACAAAATATGTAAAAAATTGTATCTCAGTAAGTCTATATATAATGTATATCCTATTAACAAAAATTTATAAATTAAGATTATGAAATCATCTAGAGTAATAGTTGCTGATACCAACAGATATTGACCAAATACAATGAATAAAATATATTATATCAGAATTCATGTATTATCTTACCTTCACAGAATAATAAGAAATGTTGATTCATGGGACTAAAACTGGCATCAAAATATGTACATTGTTCTTTCATGAAATTACATGAAATGCATTGGCGATTCAATAATCCTTCAGTAGAAGCACTGGAGAAAGAAAAAGGAAGTTATTATAGAAATGCTACTATTCTAGGCACTTGAATGTGTGGTGTTCATATTTAAATATAATATAAACAAGGGAGTTACATCGGTGCTTGCATAGAGGTTCACTGTAAACTATGAATCACCATATACATAAAAAGTCACCTTCTATTAGTAATGTTAAAACATACACATTTTTCTTAATCTATTAAAATTAAAATTATGTATTATTTTATGTATGTAATATGTACACTTGTATGTATGGCTATAAACAAAGAACTGATTTCAATGGAACTCAAATTAACTTACTGTTTTTTGCATTTTTAATAGATATTTCTGTGTAAAGTCTTAAAGGGAATTTCCCACAGAGATTATTCAATGTTTAATACATACTAATTGAAAGAAGGAATATGCATTTCCACAAGTCAAACAAAAAAATCCAGCTCATGATTTTCTAAATTAAACATTCTAAACATTAGAATTTGGTATCAGTGCCAAATTTTCCCCATCATTTACTTGCAGAAAAATTACTGATTTTAAAAAAGTTACATTTGTATTATAACACATATAACACTAACAACAATACACACTTTGACATAATGAGGTGGTAAAAAGAAGAGTCATCACCATCTTTATTTTACAATAGTGGTGCTTAAGGTTACAGGAGTTGAAAAATTAATATAAGATTAAATTTCATTTATCAAATTGTTTATTTAATAAATAAGTCTGAATGCAAAATTTGGTAGGTCAATGGATGAAAACACTGTTGAGAATACCTTTAGAAAAACTTGATCAGACAAAAGGTCTCAATTTCATTTTGGAATGAAACATGATTTTTGGTCGTATATTTACAAATGAACAATATTCACGTTGATTTTGATGTGCAATACGCTGTAGGTATGGGGATTGGAACAGGGGTGTTAAGGCAGCTACAAGAAACAGTTCACAAAATCACAATTCCATATTTGAAACACTGTGAGATGATTACAATCCAAAAATTTCCTTATAATACTCAAAACAATATATACCAAGCACAAATCATATTAGTTTCACTCATGATAACTTATAAAATATCCATAGCCATTTTTTTTCATTTTATAAAATTTGGGTTAAACCTGTATAACATAACATTTGTCATTTTAAGCATTTCTAAGTGTACAATTCAGTTTCATTAATTACATTCACAACATTGTACAATTTTCACCACAGAAAAGCTTAGAAAGTATCCCAGTTGCATACAGCTATTCAGTGACATACTAAGATTTAAAACCTTTTTCTCTCTACTCTTCCATAAAGCTTTTAGATCCAAGCTCCCTGGAGATTTATGTGGTATTTTCTCATTATTTAGATTATGAGATTGCTGAAATAAAGAGACACAAATTTTGAGACAAAGAAAGTAACAATGACTACGGTAGCAGTCCTACTCCTGCAGGGGTGCCTAGTGCCATATATTAAGTCAACCAGTGATCATTTTTATAGCCTGGGCAAGACATTGATTGCATTTTCTGGGTCAAACACTAACATTATCTTACAGTCAAGCCAACTGGCATTTGATGAGCTATTTAAGGGAAAATTTATTGCTACTACATTTTCTTTGTAACACTGTCGACTACACTAGTACATGTCAGAGATACATTGACTGTTCTGCCTCAGTCACTAGAGAGATAAGACAAGCACACAAATCTAAGAAGTCATTATGATTCAAATCACATTTTACACTAATAATGGGAAGAAAGATTGAGGCAGTTCCATTTGCTGAACTTGACCAAGTCTAATCTTCTGATGCTGTCATTTTTCTTTGAGTTTTATAAAATGAGAGTTTTATAAGATATAAAGTGTTTCTATCTCTCTAAGCTACAGTTTATGGCTACCGATATCAATCATAATGTATGTTTCAAGAAAGATAAGCTTTAGGTCACCAAAAGAAAAAGTGACCAGTACTTTGATCAAGATCCCGAATCCAAAATTCAAATCACTATCTCTATATGAATAGCTTTGCTTCCTGGAAGTCAGAATTAAGAACATGCGTTCCAGGAGGTCCACGAGAATAAACTTATAATAATGATGTATTAAGAAAGGCGATTAAAAGGACAAGGTTGCTTCTGATGAAAGCAAATTGTGTATAAATAAGAGTGTGGGGGTGATGCAGAGGAAGTCGGGGTACTTTAAGCATGCATTTTTACTCTCAAAGGAAAGTCAGTACTACTCGGTAAGAATTAGTGGTGACACTTCTTAAAACATGATGAATTTCCCCTGAGAATATGTCATGGCAGTTTTGACACTTTAAAAATGGATCTGTGAAATGGAAATTAGAACATGTATATAAAGTCTAGAATTAATAGGTTGCTTGCCAGCCAAAAATAAAAGTCATTTTTGTGAGATCCTGGTGAAAGCTCTCTGAGTGAGGAGACATTTTAATACTAAATAGGTGTGAGCTTAAGCCTTTTTTTGAGTATAGTTTTGCATTTGGGAAATTGAACAAATGTAATTATTTTCCCCTATATTGCTTTATTTTAGCAAGCAATGAGCGTTCCTTATTTAAATAAGGATGCCTCCTCCTGCAACAATCTCACTGGGTTTTATGAACAACAAGACAAAGAGGGAAAGCTTCCTGCTTGATACACTAGACTAACTGTTCACAACAACATTATATTGTACAAGAATAAATTTCACCTGTGCCACATTAATGCACTGAAAATTCAAAATGAGACTTAGCAGAAGATGAAGGCACGAGGGAAAATACGTAAATCTCTCTGATGTGGAGAGTTGAGAGAAATAAGCCACAAAAAAGATATTAAGAAACTGCAAAAGCAGGTGAAGAAAAGAATAAGGAGGCTGCAGAGCAGGAAGGAGCAAGCAGGGCTCCATTTTCTCCAGTCCTGTCAAGGGAGAGACTGGTGCAAGAGTGTGAAGCTTTGTCAGCAAAGTTGGCTCTTCCTAGCCATGTTGAAAAAGACATTTCAAATTTTTCCTTTCCTTCCTTATGCTACATAGATAGCCATTGAGAAGCCAATCTGTGTAAGGAGATCCTTGCACACTGCTTACCTGTACAGCTGCCTTCCTCTGGGAGAAGATTCAGTGCTCAGAAAGTAACTGTCCAGGAAAGAAAACAACACAAGCATTAGACACAGATCTATTTTTTGTGATCTGTGAATTTTGTCACATTGTCACATTGAATCCTGAATTCACATTGAATCTTCACCTGAATTTTCACATTAAATCTTCACTTGAATTTTTAAAACTGTCAAAATACAGACAGGAGTTGTTTTGCTATACAAACACAGGGCTATGATCAAACTAGGAAACATATTTTTTTCCCCTGATAAAATCATCCTTTTTCATAACCTCTCTCAATCACTGTGTGTGAGTATATGTGTGTGTGTGTGCGTGTGCACACACACATCCCTCTGTGTAAGATGTCTCTGTGTGAAGTGTGGAAGAGGTCTTTAAAGAAAGGTTATTCTTTCCATGGCTGGCTTGTTTTGACTAGGACTATGGTAAGCAAAACATAATTCTATTAGAAAAGATGGCATTTGACAACGCTAACTTGCAGCCTGACTAGAGAACTGAAAACACTCACATTTTTTGAGTAGTTTCATCGTATGCCAAGATCTTTATCACTTCCCAGTTTCCTGATGTCAGATGCCGCACGGTAATTTGCTCACTTTTACTCTGCAAAGAAATAGAAAATATTGATTTTCCTTTCATTTAAACAGCATCTCTCTGGTAAACACGAATGTACCAACTGCTTGTGACACTTCGAATTCTCTAATTCTCAGTTAACACTCAGTTTTCTGTTCCACAGCTCAAGAATGAACATGCATTCCTATAAACACAGATCAAGGCAGGTAGGTTAGTGCCTTCATTTCAACTATAGAAAAGTCATTCAGAAAACTCCTCCAGGTGAGGGTGAATCAAGTATACCATGTTGATGGCAGCATTTGCTTCCAAGGTAGGACTTTAATCACTCTCATGTAAATGACTGGCAGCTGTACAGTTAGCTTTAAAAAAAAAAAACATTTTAGAACAAACTTTACTCCAATAAATACTCAGGTTTGTATTCATTTTAACCTTTGCAGTATGGGCATTGTTATAAGATTTGCCATTTAATGCAATAATTTTTTTTCAGAGATGAATTCATGTTGATGAAGGTAATTAGCTTAATCAATGCTTCCAAGGTGTTTATAGGACCAACATTTTAATATGTAAAAAACAGGTAGTAGTATTGTCTAAAAAATATATATTGTTTGACCCAAAAAGTATTCTTAGAAATACTATCATTCTATTCCTTAACCACTTTATGTAGTTAGAGAACACTGATTAGAATGGATTAGAAAGATTTGGAACCAACCCAAATACCCATCAATGATAGACTGGATAAAGAAAATGTGGCACATATACACCATGGACTACTATGCAGCCGTAAAAAAAGGATGAGTTCATGTCCTTTGCAGGGACATGGATGAAGCTGGAAACCATCATTCTTAGCAAAGTAACACAAGAACAGAAAACCAAACACTGCATGTTCTCACTCATAAGTGGGAGCTGAACAATGGCGCCTGTCAGGAGGTTGGGGGCTAGGGGAGGGATAGCATTAGGAGAAATACCTAATGTAGATGACGGGTTGATGGGTGCAGCAAACCACCATGGCACGTGTATACCTATGTAACACACCTGCACCTTCTGCACATGTACCCCAGAGCTTCAAGTATAAAACAACAACAGCTAAAAACAAAAACAACTGTTATCTCTAGTGTTGTGTATACTCAAGCTACTTCACTCTGATTCCTTATCTCAGTGCTGATTTTAAAGGGAATATTACTACTGCTCCATTATCAATTATGCTATATGAATAAAGCTTTTGGCAAGTGCCTTCATCACCTTAAAGAAGTTCCCTTTATTCCTAAATTTCTAAGGTTTTTGAATACTGATTTTGTTGAATTTACTTGGATCCTATGTCTGCATCTATTAAGGTGATTATAATTTTCTCAGGAAAATTTAAATGCAGTTAATTATCTTACATATTTTTGAAATTTTAAGTAAATTTTGCATTTCTGTTCAAAAAATAAGAGTTAATTTTTTAAATGCATTAAATAAGTCAACTTGTCAATAATTGGTTTAGTATTTTTAAGCTTTCTTATACTGTCTTTTCTGATACTGTTTTAATTTCGTGTTGGTTACAAGATGATACCCATGTCATAAATTGTACTAAAGACATGCCATATTTTTTCATTTTCAAAATAATATAAAATTGGAAGTGCGTACTCCTAGAATATTTGGTGAGATTCACTTTTAAAAACAACCTTTCCCTGATGTGGAAAATCCTACATCACTGATTCCATTTTCTTAACACTATGGAGGATTTTGATTGTTTCTTAAATCTGATTTGATTTTTTTTTCTAGATTGCATCCATTTCTCCTAAACTTCAAGTTTATCAATGTAAAGTTATTCATAGTATTCTTTTAATATTTTTAAAATCTGTAGTTTTGTCCCTTTCCATTATTTATACTTTGGAACTGTCCAAGTTATTATTACCCTTGACAGCTCTTATAGATTCAACTACTTTTTCCAAATAACTTACTATTTGTTTTATCATACTGCTTTATTTCATGTTTGCTTACTAGATTAATAAGTGCTATTCTTTCATTTCTAATTACCTTTCTTTTACATTTGAATTTATTCTCTTCCTTTTCTAAATTCTGACATTGGATATATACATAATTTCATATATGCATATAAAATTATTGCATATATTAAAAACTGTTGTTTATATGTATTGCATATTTTCGTATATGTAGTATTCTCATTTAGTTCTAAGTGTTTGCTGATTTCTTCTTGAAACTATGAATAGAAATTATATTTTGTTTCCAAATGTATAACCTTTTAAATGTTGTTATTTGTGCAATTCAATTTCATTGTCTTCAGAGAGTGTAATCTGTCAGCTGAGTAATGCTTTCAATGCATTTTTGGTAAAAATAAATTCAGAATTAGGTTCATATAGGATAGTTTTATTATAACATCTATTTTCCCACACAACTGAAAGTGTAAACTAAAAGGGCATTCCATACTTTACTGCACATGTGTACTAACAGAATCTTCCTTTGAAAAATTTTCTGTCTTATTGGTATGTATTTGCATTTCAATATCTCCCTAAGTAGTCTATTTTATGTTCTTAGTGGAAGTTCTCTAGACGTCTAGCTGCTTAAGGTCAACAGCAAGCCTGTGACTTCTTTATATCAACTTCTTTGTATACTATCTGACGTACTACTGATTTACAAGTATTTGTTGACTAGAGGTATAAGTGCAAAGACACCCAATTTGTGAGATATGAGAACTGCATAACCCAAAGGCTGGCACAGAGTTCTAAAGTCATACATTTTATTGCCAAGTTCACACAGGCAAATAACTCAGTGGATAGCTCCTCTTTCTTGTTTCCAGGCCCTGCTTTGAATGAGCCAAGGACAGGATACTAAAATTTCAAGGTTTTAGTGCATCTTTGATGCCAATTTCAAGATAAAATAATCTCAAAACATTAAAAAAGTGAAGAAACTTTGCTCAATATTTGAAAACATCTGGAGACACTTTTGGCCCACAGATTTCTAGGTTAATTATTTTCTCTGTTTTTCAGAGTATTTTGGTGTGTGTGTGTGTGTGTGTGTGTGTGTGTGTATGTGTGTTTTAAAGACAAATGAGATACAACATTAAAATTGCCATGAGTAAAAACCCAATGCTTTGAAAAATGTTTGAACACAGTATAAAAAATATTATATATGATTTACTTCAATGATCCTTTTAGTTCAAAATATTACACTTTCAAGTGTAGGACCAAAAGATCTCTTGTTGGAAGCCTTAATAACAACCATATAACCTTTTGATTTTATTTGAAACAGCTGTAATTGCCTTGCTTGCTTTTAATCTACCAGGGCAAATATGGTATGGGGAACAAGTTGAACCCTCATTTTGCATATAATAGCAAAGATTTACTTTCTAATAATCTACATAAGACTGTCACAGCAGTGAGCACATTAATTTTGACCTGGCTAATAATCTTAATACCAATCAGAATATGGTAGATGACTGAACAACACTTAATAAATATCACAGTATTTGAGCAGATTTCACAAGGGGATGTTTGTACTTCAGTTAGGTTTTTAAGCACCTTCAGCAGAAATGCAATCACAGGAAAGATCACTTAACAAAGCAGGAAAGAACAGCATTTTTTCTCTACAATAACATTTCTTTGTTTCTGTGAATCCATAATCTCTGCAATATTAACTTGGTAGAATAGAAATACTGAATATAAATATAAAACTGTAGTAGACTTTTGATAAAGGCAGTATGACAATGTATTTTAAATTGAACTAATATTTCAACTTTAATTTCAGACTAAAAAGCAACAAAAGTCGTGAGCTCATTCATTCTTAAAAGAGGGCTGGAAATTTGGAATAGAGTGTTTATTTGGAGCATTAGACACCAGACAAGTGACCTTCAATTCATAGAGATTTTATCTTGCTCAAGGAAGTTAAATATTGGTTTTATAATGCGATTTACAAATTGGAAACACATTGGGTATCAATACAAGTTTAACCCTGCATGTTCTTTTTACCTAATTACACATTATTCATTCACATTTCTTATATTAAATGTTCACTTTTATAGTTTCTAAATAAGGGAAATATTGTAGTGCTTAAAAATAGCATGCTTTAATTTGCCATCTATTCACCACATGAGATGAGCTCATTGTTTTCAGACAATGTCCTAATCAGATGCAGCAGTGAAACTTAATGCAAAAATTTTACTGGGTTGATTAGGTGATAAAATTGTGGATTGGGGGCATGCTGTTTTCCACAGTATTTGTAGTGAATAATGCCACTTAAAATCGTTCCAAGTGAAATCATCAGCTCTCATGGGCAAAACTTCGTGTTGCTGAATAGAGAAAGTGAATGGATTCACCCACATATAATTTTTCATTTAACACAATTTTAGAAGGTGACAGGGCCATTCCTTACGCCTATGAATCTGAACGACTGAACACAATGAAAATTCTGCTTACTCCATCTTTGAGAGAAAAAGGTGCTATACCTTTGATAAAAACCTATCTCTTCACTGCAGCCTGAATTGCAGGATGTAGAATGTTACAGTTCCTGAGATGAGAATTCAGAAGTTTGAAGTCAACATAACAAATATTTTTCAAGGGGCAAAGGGGCGAATATCTGAAGTGATCAAAAGTTTAATGGTCTGGGGTAAAAGGTTTTGTATCAGTGTATGACTCAGGAAGTACATAAACTGATAGTAATACGTGTACAAAACACTCTATCCAGAAGAACAGTTTCTTTAGCTATATAGATTTCCAGAAAAGCCATAGTTTTATTTAATATTTTCTTTAATGGAATATATGAAAGTGGAGAAAACACTCACAAATTTTGCTTTCATATATTCATACTGAAAGTGATCTGGAAATACATATATTAGGGCTTAGAAATCTTTTACTTTTGGTCCAGCTATTCCAGTTTTGTTAATCAATACTAAAGAAATAATCCACAATATAAATAAGCTTTATATACAGTGACATCTATCATTACAACAAATTGCCACTAAATTAAACACAGAACAACAAATAATGGTTATTGATGCACATCCAGTCAACTCAATATTAATCTTCTAAAGAATTATTTTTCAAAATTATTTAGCATTGTGGGAAAAGTGTGCATTTAAAATTTAAATTTGACATATCAGGATGCAATACTGTAGTTTACATAAAATTACAATAATGTTTAAATGAAGACTGGAGGAAAACACATGCATTCTTTTCTCTTTTTATTTGTATCCTTTGGAATCACTTTAACAAGGACAGCTCTTGTAAATGAGGAAAAAAAAAAACCCACTAAAATATATGTAGTGACCGCCATCACTCTCCATAATGAAAATAGCTTGAAATCAATAATTGTCTAGCTTGGTCTCTAATTAATGATTTTTATCTACTTACTGATAATATGAGAGAGCAAAATGTTTGCAAAAATTTAGTAATTTCATTTAGTAAGGTACTTCAAGCAAATAAATATATTCTGAGTGAACTAGTAAGCTCTCAAACATAGGTAAGCGCCAAGTACTGCAAAGGTGACCTGGCTGACTGTTGGCTGCCAAGGCCCCAGTCCTGTCATTTCTCACTTTTCAGGCACGACAACTTTAAGTAGAATCATGTAGCACAGCAAGGGAAGGAAAGGGGGTAAAAAGTCATCAATGCTGGCATGCATTACTGTTTAGGCAGTAAATTTTTGTACTATTTTTTGGAGAGCCAATTTGGCATTACACATCAAAACCTAAACAAATACATTCGTATGGATATACCCTGCCTGGGTATCTTTTAACATCTAGAAATATAATTTTGCGGGAAGAATTATAAGTAAAGTGTTTATAAGGGCTTTTAACTCTGAATCATTTCTAACATCAAAATATAGAAATAACTTTAATGATGAATAAACTTGGATCATTTAAATACAGTACAGGCCGGGCGTGGTGGCTTATGCCTGTAATCCCAGCAGTTTGGGAGGCTGAAGCAGGTGGATCACCTGATGTCAGAAGTTCGAGACCAGCCTGGGCAACACGGTGAAACCCGCCTCTACTAAAAATACAAAAATTAGCCAGGCATGATGGCGGGTGCCTGTAATCCCAGCTACTCGGGAGGCTGAGGCAGGAGAATGGCTTGAACCTGGGAGGAGGGGGTTGCAGTGAGCCGAGATCGTGTCACTGCATTCTAGCCTGGGCAACAAACTGAGACTCTGTCTCAAAAAATAAATAAATAAATAAATAAATAAATAAATACAGTACAGTATATCTGCTTGCTGTAATGCTGAGCAGCTATTAAAATCACATTTAAGAAAAATATAAAATGTTAAATATTAGGAATACAATTAAATGTTGTAAGAAAACACTCATTAGTTATTCTTTTAATGTTACAAATCTATATTATGCTTTAATTGCAATCTTTAGGGGAAAATCATATATTTCTCATGAAAAAAGAATGTAAAATATACACAATAATGGATTAAAAGTGTGAGAATATGAGGTGATGATATTGTGGGTGATTTTTATATACTCCTTTATCAGTTTATTAAGTTTGAATTTTTCAGAATTTTATAGTGCATATATGTCAATTAAGCAGTCATACACAATTCATAAATAGCTTTTTTGTTAGCTATTTTTAAATTGAGGCAAGGTGATTCAAACCATTTCCTAAAATAACATATGTGATTGTGTTTGTGTGTGTTCAAAGTTATGTATAAATTGTATTTACCTAGCACTGACTTCTGACTCATTAGCAAAGTAGACTAATTTTAATCAATTGCCAAAATATTCATAAATAATCATGCAGTCATGTTCATTTCTCAATGAGGCAAACCACAAATTACCTAAACAGCAACCAGAATAGAAAAAAAATGTTTTCTACTTCAATGAAGGCTGTGTTATAGTCCCTATATAGAAGAGGAACAAAGTAAACACAATGTAAGAACTTTATTAAGTTTTTCTTCTGAACATTTCAGAAATACAGGAATTTGCCTACATATTAGGCTGGTTTGACTGAGAAACAGAAGGTATTTCTTCCCTAGGCTTATAAAAAAATTCTTGGTTTGGGTGTATAAATATTTTAATTCCTGCATGTCAACATCACAACCCTACCCAACGCCATACTTTTACAAAGACATTATTTCTATTATTTATTTGTTGAATAATGGATACAAAAATATAGGTAGATAGAATGGGTAAGATCTAGCATTTGAAAGCACAGCAGGGTACCTACAGTCAAGGATAGATTGTCTTCTTTGGGGAATTACATACACAAAGACGTACAACTTTTCCTATCCTTCACTATCTCTTACAAATATCTATAATTTGTAGGTAATCTTCTTTACTACTTATATTTTTCACAGAGCTTCTAGAATATAAAATACTGAAATTTAAAAATTCAATGAAATGTCATAATCAGTTATAAGATTTGGGAAGTGTGATATTTTAGGGGCCAAAATAGTTCTCTAATATTTGTGATAACCAAGTTGACTCTTAATTAGCAAAAGTTTATAAAGTAAAGTAATTTGCTAGTCTATTTCCTTTCAGTTTCATAAAAAAAGTTCCCTTAATTATACCTGACTTATATAATCATTTTAATAGCTAGATATAAAAACATCCAAAATTTTATTCATCTATAAATGCATATATAAATGCATCTATAAATGCATTTATTTAGAGCATAAATAGGATCACATTATACATTAGTTTATAACCTGTTTTTCCACCTTAATAATATACTATGAAAATCAATCTACATCTGTACTGTGGAAATTGTATGTATTCCAAATTATTTCTTTCAGTCGTAATTAAAATTAAAGTTAAAACAATGACAACTATTTTAATTACACAGACCCTGAACAAGTTTTAAATTTTAAATTAGTGACATAAGATTTTGAGACTCTAAAGCATTAAGCTGTCCAATACAAATGTATATGGATAATGGTAATCATTTGAGAATGTGCACAGGTCTTAAAGGTTCTAAAAACATAAAATTAGTAAGGTCAGTTAGGTATCTTTGCCATATTTATATTTATTCTATATTTTGTAAGTATGAAATTACTCTTAGCTAGTTTGTAAAACACTCATGAAGATCCCAGTTTAGCCACAGTGACTTTTCATTAGAAAGCCTTTAACCTGTGTGTGAGACTAGATTATTTATTATATGATTTTGAAGGATGCTTTATTTTCTCATGTATGCTTGCTCTTGGAAATTAAATTCAGATTGACTCAATAACCTTGTCAAATTTAAACTAACTACCTGAATTTACTAATTTTTTTATAATAAAACTGTATAAACCCTTCATATTCTTTTGATTAGATAAAAAGTAACCTTTCCCCTCTTTTTATCGGAAAGTCTAAAAAAAAAACATAGATTATATTTTACAACATGAAATCTATGTTATTTAACATAAAACATCTATTTTATCCTGTTTTTTAAAAATCTGCACTGTATTTGCTTGTGGGGATGTGCCATAATTTATTCAACCATCAATTTTTGATGGACATTTAGGTTCCTTTGAGTATTTAAAACTTTTATAACACCTGGAGAATATTACTTGTACAAAATAGGTTATATATATGTTCATTGAATAAAAAATCTTCTCTAGATTATCTCAGGTCCTCAAAAGTTGGGTGCTTTTAATTTATTAAATTCTCTATCCCAAAGCCCTCAGTTCATAGGACACACATGTAACTCATTAAATTGTACTGAGTGTTGAGACTGTTTTGTGGGAAGGTAAGGCTTGAATGTATGGCTATGGATGGAGGTCCTCTTCCTAAGATGTCTGTGAGTTGTATATATGGCTGGGTTTCACCACCATGAACTAGAGGTTTAGAATGCCACAAGAACTGGGCCTTCGGGGACATGAGGACAATGAAATCAAAACATGGAAAAAAGCCAGCACTTACCTGGATGAGGAACATAGCTACGTGGTGAAATTCTCCACGTCCCCCTTGCTTAACAGGCACTGTCATAAAGAATTTGCTGCCGTCTCTAGAAAACACGGGCTCCTCATTCTAAAATACAGAAGAGCACAGAACAATCTCAGAAAGGCACATGCAATCTGTGCTGCCTACTACTGTTAATTCCTGCATGGGTTATACCAAATATTGATTTATAATTAGTTAGGAAAATGGGCACATTATTTTAAAAAAATGAATGTATGCTATTTTTTAAACTTTTTTAAAGTAAATCTGATACATTACATATGTATGTGGTTGAGTTGTGGGAAGGATAGGAGAAATTTGTGCATGGTGGATATGAATGATTTATTATCAGACTAAAGACACTTTTTAAATTGGTTCAAACAAGAACTGTCATATCTTCACATAAGATTGTGTTTAGTGAAATATCCTTCAAAGATAAAGAACATGCAAACATCTGCATCAGTTTATCAAAATAAATCTTTTAATTACAAAATTCTGTAACATATTTTTTGAAATCCTTTCTTCAGCAACTGTACTTACTTGAAGATTCTTTTCTGATAATGTATTCATAAATTAACTGAAAATACAAAAGACGACAGGCCACGAAATTGAAAGGATTCTATAGAAAGTTATTTAATTCAAATTTACCATCCTTATTGCTCATCTCTCCACAAACACACAAACACAAATGCCCACCTACAACTGTGACCCCATTTGATAATTTTTAATTACACTCTGGTGGCACATTAAATCAATAGAATTATTTTTGAAAATTAAATGATGAAAGCCACATATATATATACACACACACACTATATATTTATGTGTGTGTATATATACACACACTATATATATTTATGTATATATATACACACACACTATGTGTATATATATATACACACACACACACACATATATGTATGTAGAGAGAGAGAGATACTGCTCTTTCTTCAGGAAAAACATTAAGAAAACACATTTATCTGATGAAACATTGAGTTTTTCCTGCTGGACTAACGAGAGGTGGTTATATATGGTATAAAGAAAGGCTTTGATATGGGTCCTGAGTAGCTCTGCACAATGGCCTTCAAGCCCTTTTAGATGACTTGGCCCTCTACTGTCTTTCTGATCTCATCTTTGTCATTCTCTTGCTTTCTTCACTGGGTTCCTGCATGATCCTGCTCCAGGGCTCTTGTACTTTGTATTCCCTTGGTCTGGATCTTCCTCTTATCTCTTTCAGGTCTCTAATCCGAAATCTCCTTATCAATAAGGTGTTTCCTTATTACCCTATATAAAGCGAGATCAGGAAAGTCAGACCATCCAACTCTATCTGACATCCTTCATCTCCTTTTATTTTCTTTCTAGTTTTCCATAGCACCTGATATAGTTTGGATCTGTGTACCACCCAAATCTCATGTCGTATTGAAATCCCCAGTGTTGGAGCTGGGGCCTGGTGGGAGGTGACTGGATCACGGGGGTGAGTCCTTCACGAATGGTTTAGCAGTAACCGCTGGGTGCTGTCTCATGACAGTGAGTGAATGAGTTATTACAAGACCTGGTTGTTTAAAAGTGTATAACACCTCCCCCATCCCTTTCTTGCTTCTTCTCAGGCCACGTGAAGTGTTGCTCCCCATTTGCCTTCCGCCATGACTGGAAGCTTTCTGAGGCCTCCCTAGAAGCAATAACTACTATGCTTCTGTACAGCCTGCAGTACTGTGAGCCAATTAGACTTCTTTTCTTCATACATTACCTGGTCTCTTATAGCAGTACAAGAATGGACTAATACAGCAACTAACACCATTCAACGTATAATTTGTGTATGTATGCGTTTGTTTGTATATGAATGTATGTATGTATGAGACTGGTGCAAAAGTAATTGTGGTTTTTACCATTACTCTTAATGGCAAAATATGTATATGAATGTATGTACATATGTACATACTGTATATAAATGTATGTATGAGATTGGTGCAAAATTAATTGAGGTTTTTTCCATTACTTTTAATGGTGGGGGTAAATCTGGTGGATAGAGTGATATATATATATATATACATATATATATACATATATATATATATACACACACACACACACACACACACATATATATAATGAGTATTTTTGTTCATTGTATCCATACATTCATCTATTCATCAATTATGAGTTGCGACCTACCGTGTAATGGCAAAAACCTCAATTACTTTTGCACTAATCTCATATTTACATACTTATGTATGTATGTATGTATGTAGTTCTCTGTAATGTAAGCCCCATAGGGCAGGAAACTTGTATTTTTCACTACTGCATCTGCAGCACCTGAAACAGTGACTATCATGTAAATTGAGCTCAATAATTATTTACTGAATGAATCAGTCAATTAATAACTATTTTAATATACTGAACAGTTTGATTTTAGCTTCATTCACAATACATCTCTTGACAGTAAAATAAGGATATTTTCCTTAACTGCCTTATGAACATTCATGAAAATATAAGTAACATATGTAATAAATTTAAAACTCTGAGATAATATACCATTCAAGGTTGGAAAAATTGTATAACTGAGCATATAATGGATACTGACAAAATACTTGACTGAGTGAATCACTTCTTTCAACTATAATAAAGTCAATAATTCTATTTGTTCCATCACCTGCTCCTGTGGGATATTTCTCTCTTGGAGTTTCTTTTGTCTGGAACAACTTTTTCGTCTTCCTTTTTCTGCTAAATCTTACTCATTTTTTACTTATTCTCATGAAACAAAAGAATTTCCAAGATTTCCCTAGTTAGGAAATCTCTCCTCAGATATTCTAAAAACTATCTTGTTTTCATCTTTATCATGGCTTCCAATGCACTCTATTATATTGATCTATTAACTTGTTGGCTTCCTTCACTAGGCAATTAATAATTGAACTAAATTTTAAATGTTATCTGTTTAGCTCTATTGCCTAAGACACAGTAGGTCCCAACTCATAATTGGTGAATAGATGAATATATGGATACCATGAACAAAAATATTAGTTTTATATATCACTCTATCCACCAGATTTACCCCCACATAGCAACTCCTCCCTTACCGTTCTCCCTTTGTACTTCTATCAAAAGATGAATAGCTTTTTTCTCATATACAGATATATAAGCATTCTTCCATTTACATTGCCTCCTCCCCAGTTCTAGTACCTTAGAAGTAGTTCAGAAAAGGAATAGATGGGGGCTACAATCTCATATGCCTTGCTGGACTAAAAAATCTGCCCCCAACACTTGACAATGTCTGGTGATAAACATTCAGCTCCACACAGATGGTGCCAATCTCACTGCTCAGTTTCATGACATTATACAAGTCAGTGTTTTTGACACACAAGATGGTAAGCTGGGGATATTGGACTCTATTCCCTTGACCAAATATATTACACACTGGTCATCTCAATTGCAAGTCCTTTGAAAGCTAGGCTAAACATGCCTACTTCTCTTTGCCTTTTCTGCTATGCAAAAAGACAGTATATGATGATTCTATTAAATTTATAATTATCTTAGAAATTTGCTGCTTCTTATTACTGCTACCATGCTCATACATTAAATTTCATATAACTCTAAGTATTTCATAAAATTCCCTTAGAGCATCTGAAGAAAAAAATCAACTGTGATAAACGACCAATGGCATTTACTAACTGAATAATTAATAACTGGATGCTTTGTTTTTTAAAAAAGTTTCTATTAAACATTCATAAATTTGGGATTTAAAAATTAGATAGCATAATCTCAAAAGAACATGCATTATGTTGACATATGTTAAACTATTATGAATGTCACTGGCAATCAAAGTAATAGCAAAAGATGTTTAATAATGGAGGGAAATTCAGAATGCATAAGTATTATGTGTTATATATTGTCCATTGTTCTTATTTTCTGTATCTAACCGAAATTTGTGAGTCTATTATTAGCTGTAAAATCAGGGTTTTTTTTCTATTTTATTTTGTACATTGACCAAGATAAAAGTATTTATATTAATAGATAACCATGTGCAAAGACACATATACTCGTAATATATATACAAACATTTATCTGTGTCTATCCATCTACCTACCCTTCAGACAAACAATTATTTATAATCCTTTTTACTTTTCTTCTTAATCACTCAGTAAGTATCTATTAAGCTCTTCTTACATATTGAATTCTTACATATTGAATTCTATACTAGGCGTTTGGTTTACAATTAGAAGTAAAAAACATCCTCATGTCCTTGTATCTTAGCAAAAAAAAAAATCATAGCAATAATTGTGTGTTACACAAAGATTACACTTGACTTTAATATAACTTTTATTGGGAGATGTGATTTGGTTAGGCTAGTTAGAGGAAGTGACTTCTTACATAGGTGATTTAAGCCAAGGTTTGAAAAATAAATAGGCTTCATATAAGAAAGTTTGAGGGAATTTTGTTCAGAAGGAAGGGCACTTATGAAGTCCCTGTGCATATGAGGGTCCATGTAGCTAGACTGGAGAAAACAGATCAAATGATTCTATGACTCAGAGCTGAAAAAGCTTTCAATTAATCCCTTGTGGACCTTTTAAGGATGTTGGTCTTTATCTGAAGGACAGAAAGAAGAGAGAAAAGTTCTTTGAGTTGTGGAAGTGCAAGTATGAGGGGAATGTTAGTAGCAACAATTAAATGCATATTTTAAAAAGGTCACTCAGTTAGCCTGCAGTGTGAACAGATTGGCAGGTGCCTGAGGGGTTGAGACTTGCTGGATCTGTAGTTCGAACATGGACAGTGTTTGTGAATTAGAGAAAAGTAAATTGACTTGAGAGATGTTTGAAAGTAAAATCTGTACATATTAATTATATATAGATAGATAAAAATGAGAAAAGATTCAAGGATGACTATTAGGTAAATAGTTTTAACATCTGAATGGATAATTATGTCATTGAGTCCTAAGATAAAAATTAAGAAGACTGACTAGAAAAGGAATGAGTTCAGCTTAGACCTGGGGAGTATGAAGCTACTTTTACAGATTTAGGAGGAGATGGCAAGCATAAATTTGGATATTTCAGAACTCACTGAAGTGTCTGGATAAATGTGAAGGTCTCAAAATATGGGTGGTCATTAACGCCATAGACGTAATATAAAATAAAAGAGGGCTTTAAAGAACAAAAAGAAAACCAAACCAAACCATACCACACATCTTATTTCCCTTTGCAAAACTCACTAATGTAGTTAAGAGTAAAATGAATTCAGCTATATTTAAATAAGCTATTTGTGTTGTTTCCTTCTGAATTGTCCAGGATGAGACCATGTAACAGTGATTAGGTTTTTAGTCCGTCATGTTCATCTTGATTCCAGCCTCATTTATGTCACAAACTAGAATTGTGAGCTAGAATACAACTAAGAAGAGAAGTATTTATTTGAATATCTCCATGATCAATTTATGTAAAGGTCAGGTCAATTTTTCAGACAATTTGAACAATGCTAATGATTTCTAGTTTGGTTAGGTCCTGAGTTTTTCTCCTTCATCTACACAAGAGTGTACTTACACAGAATATTTTAAAAAGTGATCCTGGCAGCTACTCTGCAATTTATGTCTCCTAAAAAAATGGAAGTAACCTTTTCACAAATGATACCATAGAAAGCCCAAGTCATAAGTGATCCTTTTAATGAAAAAGGATCACTCTGTCAAACCTAGCAAAGCCTTAAACTCATACTTTTTACAGAAAGTTATCACATAAAAAATGGGTGAACAGGATGGTCACAATGGCCAAGATGTGACAGACCACCTATACTGTACCTGCTGAGAGAGCCACGTATCTGATGTCATCTCATATTTCTGAAACAAAACAATTAACTCCATGAAGCATCTAAAGACCAAAATGAGCATATATAAATTTAACTTTTTTAAAACACGGTTATCAGTTTTTTTTCCCTCTCTTCAACTGGTGAAACACCATGAGAGATTTCATTGTCATTATTGATTTAATCTGAATGAGTAAGTAGAGAATAGGGACTAAACGATAATTTAATTATAAAGTCTTTTCTTTGGTGAATTCTTTCAGAATTCCCAGCAGTACCTCACCAGGGAGAGAAGATCATTTTCCAGCTCTGTTTGATTACCTCATTCAACTGTTTTGAACCACCAGACACTGTCTCTTTTCACCTCTAGGCATCATTGGGAGACAAAATTATTAAGTCCTTCAAAGCAACTGGGCAAACAGCCAGGAATAAAACTAAAAAGTGGACATTCTTTCAATATTCAATTCACTCATAATCATGGCCTTCTTTTTTTCTTATCAGTAGTAACTCAGTCTTTGAGAAAAAATATCAAACATTTGAAATGACAAAATTATGTGTCCCTTCAAAACAGTCTTGCAGTAGATCAGAGCCAAAATCATATTGCAAAAAGCAAAATTAGACTAATTTAACCTCGTTAAATATGTGTAGAAAAAACAAGCTTTAATAATACCGTTTACATGTAATGACATGAAATATCTTGCAGTTTTCTGAAAGAAATGATTCTATAATAAACGTATTCAAATTAAGAAAGATAAGTAACAACATATTAGGGGCTTTCCTATATGCAGAGGTACCCATCTCAAATTGTTAATAATAAATTATTTATATGTTTTTAAATACTAATTTCTTTTTCTAAATCCATATTATGATTACATTATAATTGGTCACTTTCTCTTTTCAGGGCACTTTTTTTTTCAATAGATCTTCATTACGTGAAGATATCAAAAAAAATCTAACTGAATCATTTCTTTATTCTCCATTTACACCCTAGCATTAACCATTCTTGATATCTGTAAAGCACAGAAATAAAATAGAT
Organism: Homo sapiens; assembly: GCF_000001405.40. Taxonomy (NCBI): domain Eukaryota; kingdom Metazoa; phylum Chordata; class Mammalia; order Primates; family Hominidae; genus Homo; species Homo sapiens. The sequence goes on along the minus strand of NC_000002.12, from coordinate 115,761,572 downwards.
ACCAATGCCACTGCTTGTTAGTACCACCAAGTTTTGGTAGAACCCCTGAGAGCTCAAAACTTCATTTGTTATTGTTTGTCTCATTATTTCAATTAACAGAATGCAAAGTCTTTTTATCTCCATACGTAGAATAAAATACAATATCAATAAGGTGTCAGATCAATAGTATGATAGGATTACTGGATCTATTTTCTATTAAAGCATTTTAATTTATCTTTGCAGTTATCTGTATGCAATGAAATATTTACAGTATCTTTGTCTAGAAGGGCTTTCTCTAACTACAATATATGTAGGCTAATTTTTAAATTTTTACTTTAATTTTTTATGTAAAAATAAGATGGTGTCTCATTATGTTGCCCAGGTAGGTCTTGAACTCAGCCTCAAGCCATTCTCCCCACTTGGCCTCCCAAAGTGTTGGAATAACAGGTGTGAGCTACCTATGCCTGGCCTGTGCCTTTTTTTTTTTTTTTTTTTTTGAGACAAAGTCTTGCTTTGTTGCCCAGGCTGGAGTGCAGTGGCCCGATCTCGGCTCACTGAAACCTCTGCCTCCCAAGTTCAAGCAATTCTCCTGCCTCAGCATCCTGAGTAGCTGGTATTACAGGCGTGTGCCACCATGCCCGGCTAATTTTTGTAGTTTTAGTAGAGACAGGGTTTCACCATGTTGGCCAGGCTGGTCTCAAACTCCTGGCCTCAGGTGATCTGCCCACACTGGCCTCCCAAAGTGCTGGGATTACAAGCATGAGCCACCACAGCCGGCCTGTAGGCCAATTTTTAAATGACTTACTAATCAGCCGAATAAAAACCATCCAGAACACTTTAACAAATACGTGGAGAAATTCTAGTCAATCTATAATCTAGCCAAAAGAAAGAGATGAATTTTCTAGTAATACAAGCTTAATGAGAAGAGCATCAAGTGGTTGATTTAACTATCTCATTTCCACGACTATGCTCATCATTCTACTCAAAGAGAAATGTCTGCCTCTTGAGGGCTCTCCTTCACAGACCATTTAAATAATATGTTTTAAATTTTTCACATATAGTGAAATGCACAGATTTTAAGTGTATAATGTGATGAGTTTGACAAGTTTATCCCATCAAGTTATAGGATCTTTATTTTTCCCCAAAACATTAACTCATGCTCCTCCCCAGAGGTTCTCAAAAGGCAATCACTTCTGATCTTTTTCCCCATAGACAGCATATGCCTGTGTTAGAAAATCAGATAATTGAAATCATGCATTACATACCTATTATGTACTCTGTAGTGTGAGGTTTCTTCCACACCACTTGTTTTTGAGATTCGCTCATATTGTTGAGCGTATCAGTATTTTGTTTCTATGGCCAAGTAGAATTCCATTGTGTAGATAAGTCTTACTTTAAAGTCTATTTCCTGTTAGTGGACAATTAAATAGTCTCTACTTTTTAGCTATTGTAAATAAAGCTTCTCTACAGACTATTTCTTACAAATCCTTTGGTGAACACATGTTTTCATTTCTTGTGCAAATACTTTGTAATGGAATTATAATGTATGGGTTTTTTTTTGTTTGTTTTTTGTATTTTTTTTTTGTGACGGAGTTTCACTCTTGTTGCCCAGACTGGAGTGAAATGGAATGATCTTGGCTCACAGCAACCTCCACTTCCCAGGTTCAAGCAATTCTCTGCCTCAGCCTCTGGAGTAGCTGGGATTACAGGCATGCGCCAACATGCCCGGTTAATTTTGTATTTTTAGTAGGGACGGGGTTTCTCCATGTTAGTCAGGCTGGTCTCGAACTCCTGACCTCAGGTGATCTGCCCGCCTCCGCCTCCCAAAGTGTTGGGATTACAGGCATGAGCCACCGTGCCCAGCCTATAATGTGTTTTTATATATGAATGTATATGTGTATATATATGTGTGTGTGTATATATGTCTTCTTATTTATATATAAACAAAAAAATTGTGTTTACATATGTTTAACTTCATTTGGAACTAAAATATTATTTTAATGTAATCATATCATTTTACATTCCCACTTGCAAAGAACGAGAATTTTTGTTTTTCACGTCCTCTTTAACAGTTAATGTTGTCAGTTTTTTGTTATTTTAGTGTAGTCATTCTAATTATGTATAATATACCATTATAATTTTAATCTATATTTTGCTAATGTCTAATGAAGTTGAGTGCTTTTATTTTTTTTTTTTTATATAGAAATGGGATCTCATTTTGTTGTCCAGGCTGGTCTTGAACTCTTGGCTCAAAAGATCCTCTCATGTCAGCCTCCCAAATAACTAAAATTACAAGGATGAGCCACCATACCTGACCAAATGTTGAGTACTTTTTCATATGTTCATTCTTTTCCTTATAAGTAACTGTTCACATGTTTTGATGTTTTTATGAGGTTGTGTTTTTATTATTGAGTTATAGAATTTCTTTATATGTGTTTTTGTCTGATACCCATTTGGCAAAATATTTTCTTCCAGACTGTAGTTTGCATATCCTTTTCCCTAATGGTGTCTTTGATGAGAAGTTTCTAATTTTATTGATGTCCAATTTATTGTTTCATAATTAATGATTTTTTGGCTTATTCAGTATAGTAAGGTTTTATTTCATATTTTCCCCTAGAACACTGACAGTATTAGCTCTTAAATTTAGGGCTATGATTTATCCCAAATTGATTTTAGAATATGATATGAGTTGTCAAACATCAATTTTTTTTATCCAATCGGGATGCCAATTTTTTCAGCACCATTTTTCTCCATTGAACTGCTTTAGCACCTGTGTAGAAAATCAATCAATCATATAAATGTGGGTCTGTTCTCTGCAAACCATTCAATTTAGTTGACCTATTTGTGGTCCTTATGCCTCCACTAGCATCTCCAGGTTTTTGTAGCTTTTTATTTATTCTTGAAATCAGGTAGGGCTAACTCCTTCAATTTTATTCTTTTACAGGATTACTTTGACTTGTTCAGGTATTTTTTGTTTCCATATTAATTTTAAAAACAGCTTGTCTGTTTCTACAAAAAAAATCAGAAGGGACTTTAATTGGTATTATATTAAAATTATGGTTAAATTTGGGTAGAATTAATATCTTAACAATATTAATTTTTTCTATTTAAAAACATGGAATAGCTTCCATTTATTTAGGTCTTTCAAATGCCTTTTAGCAATGTTGTAGTATTCAGTATTGGGGTATTTCACAATATTTGTTAAGTTTATAATTGTGTATTTAAAGTTTTAAGGGTTTTAGTGGTATTTTAACTGATTTTTTTTCTTAATATCACTAACATTTAGAAATTATGTTTTGTTGTTTCTTCATTCTTTATTTTGAAACAAGTACAAACTTATAGACAAAAGTTAGAAGACTGGTTTGAGAAACCTGAATGCCCTCTGGACTTACTTGCCACTTGTTTATATTTTACCCCATTTGCATCCTTACAAATTGTGATTTTGTATTCTAGGGTTTTTTGTAGGCTTTTTTGTTAATGTATACAGTTATGTTATCTATAAATACAGATTTACTTCTTCCTTTCCTAACACTATACTGATTCCTTGCTAAATTACTCTGAGTGGGGCCTCTGGTAAAGTTTGCTTGATAGTACTGAGAATGGATACCCTTATCTCACTGCTAATCTTAACATGAATAAGGTGAGTGTTTGCACATTCAGTAAGGGGGTACTTTATGAGTATCTTTTAATAGATTGGGGATGTTTCTTGTTATTCATTTATATTGAAAGTTATCGTGAATTGGTTTTGAATATTGTCAATTGCTTTTTCTTCATCTACCAAGATATTTAATTCTTCTTTTTTTCTTAATATATTATATTGATTGGTTTTCAATATTAAACCAATCTTAAGTTCCTGGGATTAACCTCATTTGATCTCAATGCACTATCCTCTATTTATATTGCTGGAGTTGAGTATTGATATGTTTAAGGACTTTCTCATATTTGTGCTGATATGATTTGGCTGTGTCCCACCCAAATCACATCTTGAATTGTAACTCTCACAATTCCCATGGCTGTGGGAGAAGCCCGGTGGAAGGTGATTGAATTACGGGGGCGAATCTTTCCTTTGCTGTTCTCATGATAGTGAATGAGTCTCATGAGATTTGATGGATTTACAGTGGGAGTTTCCCTGCACAAGCTCTTTGCCTCCTGCCACCCACATAAGATGTGACTTCTTCCTCTCTGCCTTCTGCCATGATTGTGAGGCCTCCCCAGACATGCAGAACTGTAAGTCTAATAAACCTTATTATTATTATTTTTTTTTGGAAATTGCCCAGTCTCGGTATGTCTTTATCAGCAGCATGAAAACAGACTATTACACGTGTTAATGAGAGAGATCAGTCTAAAATGTTGTCTCTTGTATTTTTCTTGTCTAGTTGTGGTATCAGTATTATTCTACTCTTATAATATTAGTTGAAATGTTCTCTTTCTTCTTCACTTTCTAAGGAGTACAGGGATGTTATCATATACTCCTTAGAAAGAATGATACAGTGTTTGAATATTTGCTCCCCACTCCGGAATCATGTTAAAATTTAATTGTGATTGTGTGATTGCAACAGTATTAAGAGGTAAAATCTTACGGAGTATTTAGGCCATGAGGGTTCTGCCATCATTAATGGATTAATGTCTTTATTATGGGAGTAGGTTTGTTATCACAGGAGTGGGCTCCTTATAAAAGGACGAGTTCAGCCTCCTTTTGTTTCTCTCTCTCTCACCCTCTCTTTGCCCTTCTGTCATGGGATGATGCAGCAAGAAGTCCCTCACCAGATGCCAACCTCTCGATCTTGAATTTCCCAGCCTCCAAAACTGTGAGTCAATAAGTTTCTGTTCATTATAAACTACCCAGCCTGTGGTAGGTTGTTATGGCAGCACAAAACAAACCAAGACAAGGAATTACAGGATTTATTCCTTAATAATTGATAGAATCCATCATGCAATCCACCCGCTTCTAGAGTTCTCCTTGTGGCAAGGTTTCTAATTATGAATTAAATTTATGTAATTTACTAAATAAATTTATCTTTAATTCATTCTTTATTTTTATCTTTAATTGATGTAAAATTATTCAAATATTCTTCCTCTTCATACATTCACTTTGGTGATGTATTTTCCTTTTATTTTTAGTTGACATGTAATTACTGTATATATTTATAAATACAGAGTGCTATTTTGATACATGTAAAAAATGTGTAATGACAAAGTCAGGATAATTAATATATCCACTACCTCAAACATTTATCATTTTTTATGTGCTTTAAACATTCAACATTCTCTTTTCTAGCTATTTGAAAATAAACACTAAATCATTATTAACCACATTCAACCTTCAGTGCTTCAGAACACTAGAACTTAATCCTCTTATCTAGCTGTAATGTATCTGTTAACTAACTTCTCTCTATCCTTTCCTCCCAAGCTTTTCAGACTCTTATAAGCACAATGCTACTCTCTACTTCTATAAGTGCAATTTCTTTTATCCCCCAGATAGACGTAAGAGCATGTGATATTTATCTTTGTGTTGACTCGCTTATCTCAGTTAACATAACGTCCTCCAGACTTATCCATGTTGCCATGAATGACAGAATTTCATTCTTTTTTATGGCTGAATAGTATTCCATTGTATATGTACAATGGAATGTTTTATGTATATATATACACACACACACACTTTTTAAAAAAGCATACATATATACTTTTTAAAAAGTATATATGTATGCTTTTTTAAAAATCCATTCATTTATTGATGAACATTTAGGTTGATTCTACATCCCTACTATTATGAGCACAGCTGCAGTAAACATCAGATGCAGGTGTGTATTTCATATACTAATTTCCTTTGTTTCGGATAAATGCCCAGTAGTAGAATTGCTAGTAACATATGTTAATTATAGTTTTAGTTTTTTGAGAAACCTCCATACTGTTTTCCATAATAGCAGTACCAATTTACATTTCTTTTTGTTGTCTGTGCTTTTGAAGTCTTAGCCATAAAATCTTTGCCTAGACCAATGTCCTTAAGCATTTTCTCTGTTTTCTTCTAGTAGTTTTATAGCTTTGGAAATTACGGTTCAGTTTTTAATTCATTTTGAGTTGAATTTTGTATATGGTGAGAGATACACATCTAGTTTCATTTTTCTGCACATTGACATCCAGTTTTCCAGCAATATTTACTAAAGAGGCTGTCCTTTCCCTAATATCTGTTCTGATGCATTTGTTGAAAATCAGTTCACTATAAACACATGTATTTATTTCTGAATTGTCTATTCAATGTTTTCATTTCAAACATTGTATTTTTCAGTTCCTGAAATTTTAGTTTCATTTTAAAGTTTATTTCTCCACTAAAATTTCCACCTGTTTATTTATTGGAGCTATTCTAAGTTGTTAGATTTATTTCTAATAACTTTGTTATTGTATAAATGCATTTATATGCAGTTTAAAAACATGCGAAACTAATTTATAATAGACCTCAGAATAGTAGTTGCCTCTGGGAACTGAGACTGATTGAAAAAGAGGACAAAGAAACTTTCTGGGATAATAGGGATGTTTTATATCATGATGAGGTGTGAATTACGGGATATATGCATTTGCCAAAACTCATTTAACTGCACATGTGAGATTTCTTCACTTCACTGTACTTAACTTTTACCTTGATTTTTAATTTTTTATTGATACATAATAATCATACATATTTTGGAGTACATGTGATATTTTGATACCTGTATACAAGGTGCAATAATCAAATCAGTGTATTTAAGATATCCATCACTTCCAACATTTATCATTTCTAATAACTTGTAAAACATGTGTCTGCTAATTCCAATATTACTATCCTTTGTAGGTCAGCTTTTACTGGATATTTTTGAGGAAGGTGAGTAGGTTATATTTTCCACTTTTCTACATATATAGTATTGATCATATGATTGACATTATAAATGCTACATTGTTGATAGTCTTTATCAATTGTAATTTCCCCTTTAAAAATGTACACTTTGTCCTAGTAGACAGTTAATTTACAGACAGATGAACTTGATACCTTACAGTGTAATTGAAAGGTGATTAGAAGGTGTCTAGACTAGCCCTACTTCTAATGTGCTTTCTTTCTGGGTTCTCAGTTGAATACCCAGGGTTTTCAGGGAGATCTCTTCACTATTGTTGTTCAGAACTCTAACGTCTCTAAGTACTTTGCAACTTGCAGATTCTTCATTTGCTTCAAAAATTTTTAGTAGTTGTTTTCTTTAAGACAGTGTGGAAACATATAGGTATGCACAGCTAAGCATTGAGCCTAATACTTAAGGGGTCCTCTCCATAGATTGCTGGAGTCCTTTTCTATAAAGCTCCAACTTCTCTGGTCCCTGTCCTATAAATGCTAGTCACCAAAAAAAGCCTCAAACGCTGGTTCTCCCTGTCTGCTTAGATCACAAAAATCTTTTTGCTTTGCTTGGGCTCCATCTCCTTGCCATTTGGTCTCAAAAGTGTTGTGAATAGAAAGTCATAGCAAGGTTGATTTTGTGCATTTACTTGATTTCAGCATTTATGGTCATGATCCTCCTAATGTCCCATATCTGAAAACAGATGTTTTGTATATTTTGTACAATTTTACAGTTGTTTATAACAGAAAAGCTAGTCAGGTAACACGTACTCCATCTTTTCCAGAACAGAAGTTTGAAAATTCAGTTGTTAATCTAAAAACGCTTTACCCAAATACCATACACATAACCGTTTAAACTTACTGCAGTGTTTTCTCTACCAGGAATCTTAAAAATGACACATTGAATTTACCACAGAGTTTACAAAAACTGGTATTAAGAATTGAAATATAACCTGATTTCAAAACAGAGTAGTTCATGAACCAATTTTTTACTTGTTTTACTTAATTTCAGTACAGAAACACTGTTATTTTATCAGATCTATCTGAACTACAGAAAAAATTAAAAGGAATATGTTTAAAGAAGATAGGAAAGAAACTTCTTATATTCTCAAGATAATCAAAGACAAAATATGGAGAAAAATTCCATATCTGAGAAAGAAGCTAACGTGGCTTGGATTATACTTCATGCTGTATAAAAATTAATTTGGTTTTCAAAAGCTCAGTTTGTTCTCTTCTGCTTATCATCAATATTGTTCACTTCAAAGTTTGGAAGCTTTATAAATTAAAGTATATATTCTTAATAGAATAATTCTTTTCCTATTAGTTTTAAAAGTTAAACACTGAATTTTTTTTGTACAAAGCATTTCCTGTTTCCCCTTTGTAAAGCTGCATAAGCTACTTCATTTTAGGCATAAAAGAAAAATAAATTATACTCACTTTACTACAAGCACCTGTAGTGGTCTCACAGACTGTGAGGATGGAGATGTTCTGAGCTCGGTTTAACCATCTTACCACAGTCTTGGTATTGCTTACCCATTTAACCATAGTGATATAGTATTCTCTAGTTTGGAAACAAAATTAAAATGTATGTTTAGAGCCAGAGCATTGATATAGTACCAACAATATACATTTGCCATTTTATATATAAGAATAACTGAACCACTATAAGGATGTTGCTACATATTAATTTATGTATAGATAGATAGATAAATAGATATCTGCTCTTTTCAATATTTACATATATAAATACAAATATATGTGTATGTATGTATTCACATGGATGTATACATATGTATACAAATATACAGATAATTTGAGAACAAATTTGAGAGTGAATTATTTCCCAGAAAAGTATTTCTTGGAAAAATCAAAACAATGACATGCTAGATATTTATGAAAATTTTCTATTGATTAGTACTCCTTTAAGTGCAAAACAAGTATACATTTATAAAGGTATGTTATTTTTTTCTTTAAAATCACAATCAATGAATCATCAAGAATAATCTCTTCCAGTTAAAAGGCAAAGATTATTCCTGGCTTAATAATTATATCCTTTATACATAACCTCTGTGTTATTTCACTTCATACGTGGGGACTTTGGCTACCAAGGTATGAATGGTTTGTTTTGGTCTTTGCCAGTTGTAGACCAAGGACCAGTCCCAATTTTTAATACATAATTTTTTCCATATTGTTAATTATCTTATTTATTTGAAACATTTTTAAACAAGAAATGAATCAAATTAAAGAAGATGGGAGTCTATTAAATTCTTGGTATAATAAAGATATAATTTATGGGGCCAATTATGTCCTCATGGTAACTGGTGATTGGAAAGTTTATATATCTTCCTTTGTAACACATACATTTGGACAGGTATACAATATGTCACAAAGCTTCCAACTCACACGCAACAAAATGCAATCATCAATACTCATCCATTTATGATAAAAACTTAAAAAAACTTCTCTAAAAACTTGCCCAGTTTCAGAACAGATCAGTTACTTTAGAAATAGCCATCCAGTCTACAGCCATACCATCCTGAACATGCCCAATCTCATCTGATCTCAGAAGAAACAGCCATCCACGTGTCACGGAAAGTGTCATCAATGTACTGTATTAAAACTAATTAAACTAGTTTTGGCCAGGTGCAGTGACTTATGCCTGTAATCCCAGCACTTTGGGAGGCCAAGGCGTGTGGATCACGACGTCAGCAGATGGAGACCATCCTGGCTAACATGGTAAAACCCTGTCTCTATTAAAAATACAAAAAATTAGCCGGGTGTTGTGGCACATGCCTATAATCCCAGCTACTCGGGAGGCTGAAGCTGGAGAATCACTTGAACCTGGGAGGCAGAGGTTGCAGTGAGCCGAGATCGTGCCACTGCCCTACAGCCTGGGCGACAGAGCAAGACTCTGTCTCAAAAAAAAAAAAACAACAAAAAAAAAACACAGTTAATTAACCCAGTTTTATATGACTTAGAAAAATATCAACTACAGAAAAATAACCTCTTGATACAAATTGCCTGTCTTTAGAGGTATCTGGGTTAGATATACAACTACATGAATGTTACATATCTAACATTACCGAGTAGCTACTGTTTCCTCTAGAAAACCTGTTAGCCTATCAAAGTGAAGATGTCAGTAGAAGGGCAAGCATAACTTGACATACAAGGAAGGCTGTAATATTTTTTTCAACAATTTCTTCAAGACATCTGGCAGCTGCCACAACTAGCTGAGCTCTGCTTGAAAACTGCCTTTAAACTCAGTGAAATCAAAACATAAAGTGCCCGAAGTAGAGTTAATAAGGCAACATTGAATCAAATATGCAGCTGGCTTAGGTATAATCTTTGTCCATATCAATAGGCCTTGTGATCCTGCAAAGAACAGTGTCCTGTTCACTTTCACTGTGTTTCGTTTAAGCCGATTATTTTGCATACACCATTATATTTAGCAATGTGAATATTAAAAAGTAGAAAATGAAGTATTAACCTTTAATAGATTTTTCTAGAGAATTTAGTTTATAGAAAAATGATAGTAAGTACTATAAATAATCAGAAAATAAGTGCTGAAATGCTGAATAATTGATATAAATGTTGTTGAAATTTGAAGTAAAAAATTAATTTGAATATTGTAAACAACTAACCAAAGACTGCAAAATCAAGAAGGTCATATTTTTTGGTAAACTCTATATTGAACTGATATATAGTTGCTTTTCTAATATAATCAGAAATTTGTCTCAATTACCTGCCATAATATTATATTTTGTGCAATATGAGGTAACAAACTAACATGAATAATTTTAAAAATAAATACCACCAACAACAAAACAGAATTTAAACATTCATCTTGAGAGCTTTCCTTTTCAAAGTTGGTCTCAAATGAAATGCTACAAGAACATCTTTGCAACACCTCACAGGCATGACAGAATATATTTATTAGCTAAGATGCCAAATTTTGACTTAAAAAAAAGAACTTAATCTTTGGAAAAGAATGAAAAGCCAACGAGTACAAATGTGGTGAATAACTGATTTTTAAGGGAACACTAACTTAGTTGTAAACTGTTAACTTGAAAATCATTAATTTACAGCAATATACTTATAGTTCTCTTTGATTAAATATTGTGATTATTGTGTCTGTTTTTAAATAATGTGGCTTACGGTCATAAGCAAAGCATAATCTGATGTGAGATACCTCATTACAAACCTTGCTTATACCCAAGAATGACCTTGCACATGGTAAACACAATCTGAAGAATGAAAGCTCTCCACAAATTTTAATTGGTAAAGTCTAACAAACGACCATTTCAAACCACTGAAATTTCTATATGAAGGTGTTGGAGATAGCCAAAATGGAAGCTCAAGTAGAGCTTGACACATAGGCAGGGAGGAAAGATATATCTATTAACTCAATCACTTCCTATATCCTTTCTTTCCTTGCCCCAGGAGCCTAGGTGTACATCTCCCTGTGATTCATATTGACTGATCTTGCTTACTCATAAGTATTCAGGCTGTCTCTGAATGAGGGAGTAGGGAAGCACCCTTACCTGGAAATGTCACACTCGTTGGCCTGCCTGCTGCAGATGTAGCTGTCCTCCTGGAACTCCATCTCATGAACACATTAGATCTGGTGTTCCACGACCAGTGGCCAGCAGAAGTGTCCCTTTCTTATAACTGGGTTTCCTGCTTGTTCCTAGTCTCCATGGCTCTGGATTACCCAGGAAGTCCTCGAGGATCTGGTCCTCTTGAGCCACAGAGACAGAGACAAGCTAGTTAGAGGGATTGCACTCAAGTCAACAGACTTTCTATCAGCTGGGTGGTCTGGCACAGAAGATCTAATTGTACACAAGGTTATGTGGAATGGAGGCCCCAGCATCACCTGCAGACAGGTATGTTAGCAGTTACACCGTGTTTTCATGGCCTTCCTGTCCAATCATTGCTCTGTGTTTACACCAAAATATTTGTGCGGTGTAGTTACTTTGAGCTCATTTTCTTCTAGATAATCTGTGATGTCTTCCCATAAGTATATTGTGATGGTATTCATGACCAAATTATAGCTAGCGTTCTACAAAGACCTCTGTTAATAACTATGCATTACTTGTCAGAAGGGTTATTCAGGACACTTCCATGAACATGGGTTAATTTATTAATTAGATTTTCTTGGAAGGCACAGATACTCCTTGGAAGAGTAAGAGATGTAGGCTAGATATACTTAAAGAAATAGGGAGAGAAAGCATGACAGTGTCAAGCCCAGAGTCACAGGGGCAAAATGACCATGTTAAATCAGTGATGCAGGTTGAGAACAATGGGTCACAAAAGATAAGTGACTACAGAAAGATTTCTAAGAAGTAAAATAATGCTAAGGACATAGAGTAAGAAGAAACCAAGGACAAATCATTACTTTTACTCTTCAGACTAGAGAGGTCTACACAAATGACCACGTATCACTTCTCCAAATTAATGTGACTTATCCAATCTGTGGAAAATCTTCATGATTCATTATCATAAGATAAAATTTCCCTGGAAAGTAAATATATATTTTAAAATTCACACTTAAATTTTCTAATAAAGGTATTGTGTGATTGCAATACCTTAAGTGCACAGTACAACAATTTGACAAAATGTTTCTTCCTTCCAAGATGAGATAACCCATCCAACTCCCACTAGTTCTGGGGATATTCAAAAAGGGGCATTATCTTAGTTCCTACCATGCTACATTCTTTTCAGAATCAATACAGACTGTGATTCAGGTAAAGATAAACTGAATGGTGATGAGATGAGTCTGAACTGAATTATTATTGAGGAAAAGTTGCACTCATTGTCTAAATTGATGAAATGACTTCAGCTGAATCAGACATAAATAAATAAAACAATTGAAGAGACTATGAGGGTAAGAATTAGGAGAAGAAATTATGTCTTTCTGTAGATTATCTTATCCTTTTAATTTCTTTCTAAATCATATAAATTAATTAAAATGTATTTTACAGTCTTTGGTGAGTATAAGTATTGGGTTGAAGGGATAATGATACTAGCTTGGGGAACTTTTTCTATTACAGTGATAAACACTAGTTATTATAAATAAGGAAACCAATCATCCAAATAAGCAATCAGACAGACCAAAAAAAGGACCTAAGATCTTCAATTCAAACAACAAAAAAATGTTGTTCTCCAGTGTGGAGGTCAGAGAATCTGGTTTATAAGGTAGTGGAAGTCATGAAAAAAATCTTTCTATATTTATCTTACTATTATTCCTCCTTATATAGACATAATCATATATGTATTCAATTATTATTGTAGTCATTTTGGCGATTTTATTAAGACAAGAAAACTAAGAGATGATCATATTTGTGGTTTAGGTGTGGTGGAAAAAAGTACTAAAAAAGAAAAAAATGATAGTTTATAACTGTACTGAGAAACATAATATGATTCACTTATTGGCTGTCAATTCACAGATAACCTAAAGATTATAAAAATATACCAGATGCTTAAGTAACATACTAAAAAAAAAAAACCCATAAACATGTAAATTATTATAAAATGAATTATTTAAATATTCTGCTATTGAGAGTTTAGGCAGTATTTTAAACTGTACAGGTAGCTATACTATGAACACAACACAAACATCAAAGAGAAGAGAGGACATTTGATTAACTTAATAGGACATGAAGAAAGTATGTTATTAATAATTCAATTTATATATGTTTATATTTATACAAATAGGTAAAAAAAATCAAGGTCAGGAATCAAGAGCTCCTTTTAGAAAGAAACATGGATATTGTAAATTTGATTCCCATTGCAAACTTTTTTTGAAAGGAAAAAAATTAGAAATTTTATTTCAAGACAAGCGGGGCCAGCCACAGTGGCTCATGCCTGTAATCCCGGCATTTTGGGAGGCCAAGGCGGGCGGATCACGAGGTCAAGAGATTGAGACCATCCTGGCTAACACAGTGAAACCCCATCTCTACTAAAAATTCAAAAAATTAGCTGGGCGTGGTGGCAGGTGCCTGTACTCCCAGCTATTCAGTAGGCTGAGGCAAGAGAATGGCGTGAACCTGGGAGGCGGAGCTTGTAGTGAGCCGAGATTGTGCCATTGAACTCCAGCCTGGGTGACAGAGTGAGACTCCATCTCAAGAAAAAAAAAAAAAAGACAAGGGGATTCAGCCCTGAGAGAGGTAAAGTGATTTATCCAATGAGACAAATGAAATGGTGGTAGACATGTGACTCAAGCACTCCTAGTCTATTTCCCTTTTCTGTTATTCCATAGCATTAAACAAACCAGAGAAAAAGATAAGAGTTAAGGACCAGATAAAATGTCAATAGTATCCATCATTGTTTCATTTGTAACGTAACCATTCATGGCTGCTAGATCAAGCTCAGAAATAAATGTTACTATTTGATTTGGTCAACTGTATTACATTATATGCCAATTCAGGCCTATTATTAAGGTCTTCCATCCAACGTGGATGAAATGCTCTGTAACCTGATGAAAGAGTCCTTACTTCATTTTCTACTTTTCTTATCAATGAGTCCTGAGCCCCTAATCTAAATCATTTACTCTCACTGGGATTTATCTTTTCCATCAGTAGAAGGAGAAGTTTATATTAGGTAGTTAATGAGGGTCTTCTGGAGTAAGCATTCCATAAACCTTTATTACCTTTTCAAGTACGTAAAATTTCCACACACATCAGGCTGCACTCTCTGTGAAAATGACCAACTGGGATGAAATTTTTTCTAAATAATGTCAATGAAACAACATTTGAATGAAATTTCTGTGGGAACCAATCACCCTGATTATCGATATCATCAAAATAAACTTTGAACTTATCCCCACATCATTCAATATAATGTGAAAACATTTTTCTAAATCAGCTGCCTATCCCATCTCTAGGGTTGTGATAAATTTCCAAAGGACTCTAGTATTTGAAAGAATCACTTTTGAAGTCTGAAACCATGATGGATTTCAAAATACACATGATTATTTAATTAGTTGTTCACTACTGAAGATTTTGCTAATATTACAATTATGCTTCTGACCCAATAAAATGTGTTTACTTTCTCCCTGATCAAGTTTCTTAAATATAAGTATTTCATACATAGGATATTTTGAAAAAAAAATTCTTAAATGTCTGGAGAAGAAAGCTAGAGAATCTTTGGCAAAACTATGGGGAGAAAGTTGGAAAAACTCACAAATTCCAGAGAGATTATACACTTTTAATGAACACCTTCAAAAAAAATGTGGAGCAACTATTTTCTTGAAGAAAATTCAGTGGAAAATGA
This sequence comes from Homo sapiens, assembly GCF_000001405.40. Lineage (NCBI taxonomy): Eukaryota > Metazoa > Chordata > Mammalia > Primates > Hominidae > Homo > Homo sapiens. The sequence continues at coordinate 115,746,463 of NC_000002.12, read as the reverse complement.
TCTTTTGTTCCCATCTCTGTCACATCTCCAGCAAAAGACCTAATTCTCAGTATCAGCCTCTTCAGTCATTGTATGGTGCTGATAATCACCTTGGAGCTAAATGCTTCCTAGGAACAGCCAGAGACCGAGAATGACTTCATTCCTCACTAATGTAGGCAACTTCAGCTTTATTTTCAAGTGGATTTGTTGAGCTGATCACATCTCTCTCTAAATTGCAACAAAATGATAATTGGAGTGAAAATATCTATTTCCCCATAAAAGTGAAATTGAAATTGCATACCTTGATTTAAAGCTGTCAGGTGGCATGAGCTCCAAAGTGTGAGTTGGTCCATACAGGTTTACAACATATAATTTTATTGTTGGGTTCACTTGACCTGCCTTTGAGAAAATGAAAGTTGTATTGCAAGTACATTAAGCATTAGAATATATTGGGTAAAAAAGAAAAGGATTTTTGATTCATTTACTGTTTTGTGTTAGAAAAGAAAAAAAGTTTAATTTCTCTGAAGTAGAAATGATTTTAAATTCGACAACATGATTGCCCTCAATTGTTTTTGAAGATTGCTGCTTCTCAATCATTTTCTTCAGACAATTAAAGGTGATAGGAAATCGTGATGACTTCACTCATTAGGCAGTGCTTCTGTGTTCTTTCCCTAAAATGGCACCAGAAGGGCTGGCTGTACAAACAAACAAACAAACAAACAAACAAACTAGTAGATCAAGTAGTTATTCACATTAGAGGATATGAAATGCAATGGGAAGAAGGTTTGGCTAATTAAAAAAAAAGAGGAGAAATGAAGAAAAATAGAAAGGAAAGAAAGAAAGACGCCTACCAAAACCAGGTGCCCTGTGCTTAAAATTCCAAAACCGTAATGTATGCTATCGCATTAATCTCCCGGGCTTTCCTTTTAAACATTACTAATTACTAAATGGGGTGACTCATTTGCATAATTGACAACCCTTGGGAGGTGGGCCATGGGCAGACTGTCCTCACTGAGTACCTGGCATGAAGAACAGAAAGGCAAGGATAGCAAGGATAATTTAATTTGAGTTCAGTGAATCAACACTTCATTAAATAAATAATAACTAGCAGGCATAGTAGTTGGTACGTTTCTGGCACATAGTAGGCACTAAAGGCATTGCACAAATTATTAAATTAAATGTCCCTACTACAGTCGTAAGATATAAACATTCTCTTGGTCACAATGGAGAATCTAAGCAAACAGTGCAACGTGAAATACCTAAAACTGAGAAAGTTAGTATTTAAACCCAGGATGTTCTTAACTACAATGCGAATATTGCGCTTTCTGTTTGTTCCAACACAATGGCCTTCAAAGTTTTGCCAAATACACTGTGAGTAAGGGGCAGGAATGAGAACTTTCATGACATATTTCAAGCAATTGGAATGAATAAATGAATAACCCCATCAATGAGGTACCAAATGTTTCTAAACTTAATATGCCATTAAGTTTAGACTTAATATGCCATTAAGTACCAATAAGGTACTTAATATGTTTCTAAACAATATGCCATTATCCTTATGATGTGGCTGATGCTTAAAGAAGTCCACATGAGATATATAGAAAAGAAAAAGGAAATTAAATGTGAGTTGAATTAAAAAATCCAATAAACAACCTAAAGGGAATAAAACTGATTTAAAAATGACGAAGATCCATGTTTAAGGAATTGGCATTGACAAAACCCATAGTTAAATCAGGACCAGAATCAACATAATATATGCCAACAGTAGCCAGCAGGAGTTCCTCAATAAATGTTTTGTTGGATATCAAAAGAGACTAGCACATCTGTGGAAGTACATCATTCACAGGTTAGAAGTTTTGAGCCAAAGAAAGAAGTCAGGAAAGGTTTCCACTATGGAAATGAGGTAACTGTTAAGAGAGATTATGAAATTGGTTCATAGAGTAAAGGGCTTCCTGGAAGATAAGCTATGAGCCTCCCGCACGCCAAAGGTTCTGGATCAGAATTTGCAAATCTTTTCATTACTCCCAAGCCCAACAGTGCCCGGGAACATTTTTTGGGCAGTTTAGCCTTCTGTGACTCTTATGAGCTCTCTTTCACATCATTCTTGTTTTAATTTAGTTGTCATGTTTCTCCCTCAAAATAACGGCCTTAATCTATTCAATTTTTAGCCTACCAGCCTACCATTTCTCTAGCTGGGTCTCGTATGTTGAACTTTACAGCCTGACACAGTATTGGCAGTGCCATTCAAAGTGTTGTTCTTGGACCGTAGCATCAATCAGCATCTCCTGGAACCTGAGCAACGCATTCATGGACCCCACCTGAAACCTATATTCAGACTTGGAATTAGAATCTCTCAGTGTGGGCCTACAAATCTGTTTTTACAAAATTCCCAGATAGTGAGTGTGCAAATTTTAATAAAACATTGACCTTTATCTGTATCTTTATCTATTTATGCATCTATCTATGTAACAGCTCAGTGGTGGTCAAAAGTTAGACAGCATCGCAATCATTCAGAGGTCCTGAGGGGCTTCTTAAGCTACTGACTGCTGAAGGCAGTCCACCTCCAGCATGAAGCTGATGCCCTATGATGCTGGTGAAAGGACCACATTTCGAGAACAGGCTTAGCTTAATGTGTAAGTCCATGAAACCTGAGTCCAAATGTTCAGTCTGTTATTTACTTGGCATGGTTATGAGCACATGCTAAAGATTCTCAAGTATCATTTTATTTGTCTTATTTTGTCAAAAATGAGACAAACACTTCTTTGAGAATATGTCACAAATCAGAAATTTTGAGTTGAAGGTTTCCTGTCTGTAGATAAGAATATCTCATAAACTAATAAAAAGATTTATGTAAAGTGCCTAAAATAGTATATGGTAGTGAATTAAAATGATAATTATTGTTAAGACATTAAATCTTCCAGTTAGTGAAAAGCTGTGCTTCTATTTTTTATCATTAGATACACTGATTAAAGCAAGCGGGAAATTAAATTAAATTAGATCTTTCTGTGAATTCTTACCAATGATGCACAGTTTTATGGCATACTTTCTTAAAGACGTATCAGTTATCATCTTTAAGGCAGTTTTCTTTATGTCAGCAGCGCTATAAGCTTATCACAAAGTAAAAATTGTGCACACAATGTGGCCAGTTTTCAGACAAAACGTGAACATCTCAACTAAGCGTTAGGCTGCCTCCAAAATTCAACAGTCCAGCATTCTCTAATCACAGATTTGTATCTTTCCATGGAGTTTTGAAATTAAGCACACATCGCAAGTTCATTTGTAAATTTTAATATTTGAATAATTTCAAGAGTTTGCAGATTGGAGGGTTTTCATCTATTTGCTTTTTACAGTTACATTTGCCATGAAGACTGCAAATCCACAAATTTCTCCCCTCTATTATTCTGAAACACAAGCCTCAATAACAATTAACCTTATTTTACTGGCAACTAGATTGTCATTAAACAAGATAATGTTTTAATTACAAAGATTAACCTGAGGTTACTGGGATAGAACCGTGCATCTGTTTTGTGCTGAATTGCTAATGATAGGGTATTTTATGAGTTCTGAATCATGCTGAATTAAGTAAAATACAAATATATTTGTTTACTGTATTTCATTAGTAAATCTGACCACATTAGGTATTTGCTATACTCATTTTCATCTAGTTTAATTTAAAGCACAATTTAGTATAAACTCTATGTGTTGTTTCAGTTTCCAAAGTGGCACTTTTTGAAAGTTTATCACATAAGAGTGAATTGAAACAATACATTTGTTACAGCAAAAACTAACAAAACATTTTTTGAAACCAGAGTAGATAATAAAAAATCTGAAAATTGACGTAACATACCCAAAATGATACTGAAATTTGTTTTAAGAACAAGGACCAAAACAGATTATTTTCTTAGAGTCCTATTGTCTTAAGTACCTGGGTAGGTGAGCAGGTCTTCCTACTAAAAATCACCTGAGGACTGGAAATTCTTTCTTTTGGCTTTGCCTATTAGAGGCATATGTTTTTTACTTCTAATAAATATTAATGGTAGTTATCATATATAGTTATACATATTATTTGCATATATATAAAATGACAGGTTTGAGGCTAAGAATGGCACCCACATGTAGCTAAGTCATTAGGAGTAAATGGAGCAAACAGAGCTCCATATGTATATGTTAACTTGACAAGGAGATGTTTGGATTCCAGCTGTGTTTTTGGAAATACAAATTGTTGACCTGTGGGAGTTTTATAGAGAGGGATGAAATCAATAGATTTGAGTTTTTTCCCTGTTCTTAAAATAACTGTGACTTGTATAAAAGCACTAAGCCTTTCAGAATCTATTTGCTCATTTGTAAAATTGAGACAATTGTGATAAAGACCAAATAAGAAAAAAACAAACAAGTGGAAAGTCTCCCTGAAAACATAAAGTTTATCATTAGTACCTGTGATTTCTACAATTAATAAACAAAGATTATTATGTTACGCCTATCTTTACTATTAAGCAATATTAATTTATTAGAAGACATTATCAAATGATAAAGTATCTAGGTTCATATCCAGTATCTTCTGAATTATTGCTGACATAATTTAATTTCCTCAAATGCTCCCATTGGTTTGTTTGTTTGTCTCAATCTAGTCAAAATTATGAGGCCTAGGCATGGCCAAGTTCAAGCACCATGAGTCTAGAACTAAGAAGGCAATTTGAGCATGCAGCAATGCATTTGGTTTTACTATGTGAATAAAAAAAAATCCCATTTCTTTTGGGAAATCAGTTACAAACAGTTGTCCCTTCCACAGAACTGACTGAATTTTCTTTGTGCAGTGCGTTGAGCAGTCAGATGTGATTGTATTCCCTTTGTGCAGTGCACTGAACAGTTGAATGTGCCTTTCACAGTATGTCACTAGTTCTCCATTTCACATTTAAATTGTCAGGTGAACATTTATTATCATAAATCAAACAATGTGAGAATTAATATATTTGGGGCAACTTTTCAGGTTTTCTCTGGGGGAAAAAATAGTGCTGGTATGCTGTATAGGTCCAAACTGTCATGCCAAAAAAAAAAAAAGCTAAATCTATAATTGGAGAAAGCAGAAGTTCTTTTCTTTGAGTACAATAAAAATCTCTTAGTATTTTTTTTTTGTGAAGTTAAATCATTATGTTCTCCTAAAAAGCACTGAGTATATCTGCTTTCTAATCTATGTCCAGAGAAGACCCTATAAATCACATTTTAAAATCATGGAATCATACTCTTTATAATCTTGCATTTAATACTACAACCTGTGGAAGGAACATGGATGAGAAATCTCACTGAGGAATATGCTCATTTTATTTCTGATCCTCAATATTCAAGCCTCCTTTTTTTGCCTTTGGATAAAATGAATATGGTGGCTGGTGGGAACAGAAGGAAAGTGTAAATGACCTCACCCCCACCCTGACAGGGCTAGAGTAATGAGGGTGATGGGAACCTACCCAGTAGTTTGTCTAACTAATGTAGTGCATGAATTAAACGGCAGAAAACCTATTGTGCTTGAAAAAGACAAAGTACAACTCACTAAAGAAATGGCTTAAAAATGGCTTCTAAATGAGATCAACATCCTCTCTTACTTAATTAGGAGCTAAAATGAGAAGAGAAATTTTACACGTTTCCCATAAGACTTCTTTACATGATTAATATACTGGGGGCCTTACACATGAGCCTTCTTCTTTGTTATATAAACATTGGGAAAAAATACATGTTTAAAAGAGATCTCGAGCAATTAAAGATGGCATACAGAGGAAAAAACAGTACAATCCAGATGTTTTTGCAACCCTCTTATAGAGGCCTTGCCCAACACTTGAAAATAGTTTTGCTGTCTGGAACATATTGCCATATTTCTTCACCTGATGAAAAATTCCATCTGTCTTACCTAACCATGGCTATGACTCCATACCAGCATTTTATATAGTGTGTTCTAGAGTATGCTCTGCCAAGGTAATGCTGATATTGATACTAATACTAATAAATGCTTTCTGCTTAGTCTATTCTTTATGGGTGATTTTTTTATACTTGGTCCTTTCTTTATTGAGATTCTTTATGCTTAATCTATTTCAGACTGGAGATTCTTTATGCATAGTCTATTTTTTATAGAAGATTTATAATATACATTAACATATAGCACATTAAGTGCTCTAAGAAATCATCTGAAAGAAGCTAGATTTTTTTTTAAGAACTTCCAATGTATTTGACCATGGCACTTTCCCCTCCTTTGTAACACCTATTATGGAATAGGCCTTGGACAAAACATTGCCCTGGCCTCAGTACACCCCCAATTGCTTCTCTCTCCCCTTTCAACTGTAAGGTGTGAAAAAATAAAAGTGAGCATCAAAAGGAAAGAAATGCAACAAAAGTGAAAGTTCACACACTTTCAAATCATCTCTACCTCTCTCTACCCAAGCACTGTGTATAGACTACTGGGAGATCGAAAGTGATGAGTCTGACAAGTAAGGAAAACTTCTGTTTTCCTCCAAAGACAACTTGTTCAAGAACCAAGAATACCATCTGTCAAGTCACTAGTGCAGAGAGAGAGAAGGAACAAAATAGTACTTCCATGTTACTTACCTTAGGATACGGATACTGCTTTCCTTTGGGATACAACGCTCCAGTAAACCGAGGGATAACCATGGTGGGTACCAAAGAGTCATTTATCATCAGGAAGGCAAGTCTTTCTCCATCTGGTGACCACCAGTGGGCGATGTGAGAATGCAGGAGTTCCTCTAGAATAAATGAGTGTTATTTGAGACCAACTGTAGAGATGTGGGCTCAGTGACCCACAAACATCTGTCCTTGAAATCTCCATTGTACACCTATATTTTCTAGACTGTGTATTGAATTTTATTAACTTCCCTGAAAATTCTCTAATTCTGAGTCACCCTTTTAATTCCAGGAAGAGCAAGCAGCTGTAGAGGAAGGAAACAATGAAGCACCTAAGTCAGGATTTCATGGATTTTCAGCAATGTAGACAGAACAGATGAAAGCACTACTGGAGTAATCAGAATGAGAACGGTGATTGAAGAGTGAGATGTGGCCTAAAACCATATCCATGTCATGATTCATTCACATTTGCATGTAATCATATTTGCATTCTACCATCATCAACCAAACTGAGGGCCCACTAGATTCATCAAACTATTTTAAGCTCTAAGAAAATGGAATAAGAAGTATACTGGGTATCTTTCATTTAATTCAAGATCCACTATCCACTTTTTTGATTCCCGCTTTCTGGTCCAGAAAGCTAACCTATATGAACGACATCAAAATGGCCCCCATGTCCTCTGGCTTCCCTTTGGCAGGAGATTAGAAAGAGGAGAGTAAAGTCAGGTTATTTATTCTCTTGGCTCTATCCTACAATGTTACCTCAGGCTGGCTGTGAACTTTAAATGATGTCACTACTTCTGTCACTGCAGCCACCTCTACACAAATTTCTCCTTATGTGTCTAGTAATGGCTCATCTTCATGGTCATAGGAGTGCTAACAACTTGGCTGCTACTAGCTTAGTTTACATCACTTTCCTTTGTGGTTTTCCTACCCCTTAACCTCAGCAAATGTTCTCCTTGTAAATAAAAAGACAATAAAATGTTCACTTTGTAAATCAATTATCTTCAAAGCATCTTGTTGAATGTGCCAACACTTGGGACTCTGACAGATACAGAAGTTAATAATAGCAGCAGACTCAGAAGAGACCCTCAAAATTAGATGTTGAGACTACATTTGTCATCTCTCTATCTATATATACAAATGGAATTTATCACCTTCTCAAGTGGGAATTGGAGCATAGACAATCCATAGCAAGAGACGGAACTGTGAGTAATCAATCATCAGTGGTGGTGACATGGAATAAAATACAGGTAGAGGGAAAAGGCATTGGGAGAACAAATGCTTGTTGAAATAGGTAATATTTTTCAATACAAGTGACAATGGTCTTTTTTCAAATCTTGTAATGCCTGTCCTATGATTGTCATATGGAGAGTGGCAAAGGCTCCACACAGCATCTCTAGTTATAGCAAGTAAGTGTTGTAGCACTTACTTGCTACAACAATGATGATGTAAAGATTAGGAAACAAGTTCGCATGGTTCTTCTGACACCCCACAGATAGTACACAGGAAAAAAGAAAGCTTGAAACCATGATTGTGAAATCAGGAATGCCCATGCAAAACCAAAGGTCACGATGGTATCTTTGGAAGAGTCCATCTCTTCTGTAGTTGCAGGGAAACTATGGCCACAGTCCAAGAGAACATAGGAACGGGTACACGGCTGCAATACATATTAGAGGCTCAACTCCATTTGCTCTTTTAGGGTAAGACAAAGATATTCATAACGATGGATTGGGACCCCAACACACAGGATAAGAATGTTTGGACAAAAGCATACAGTATAGTTATGATTTCTTGGCCAATCTTATAAATAACACATTATGGTTGAATGCTGCTGTATGTGGTTAATTTTATGGCTGAAGATATTGAACATCAAAATTCTGACAAATCTTCTTGCTGACAGAGGCAACCGCTATCCTAGGGAACTAGAACTCCTCTGCATAGAGGTAGAGAAAGGGAGACAAATTTCTTTAAAATTTAAAAGTGTGCAACACCGGGGATGTTTCTAGAAATCTAGTAGTTTGGGATACACCGGGATATCTCTTCTAAAGTCAGAGAAAATTTGTTACAATTGTACTTATGTAAAAGTAAAGAGGAATTGAATTCTTTGGACTTTGAAAACAACACAAGCCGCATTGACATATGTTCTCTGTTCTATATCCCAGGCAAGCTGTAAAACTGCTAGTTCTGAGTAGAATCAGTGTACCAGGGGGCCTTGCAACTGATCTAGGCCATGTTGCAACCTCCTCTATGTCCTGAACCTTGTGACTCCAGCAGATCCAATGGCAATGTCAGTGCCCATGGCAAATAGAGATGCTGTGTGGAGCCTTTGGGACTCTCCATATGACAATCATAGGACAGGCATTACAAGATTTGAAAAAAGATCATTGTCGCTTGTACTGAAAAATATTATCTATTTCAAGGGCAGCTCTTTCCAGGGCTCCAGGAGAAACATTTAGCCTCACCATGGGATACCAAGTGAGTATGCAACCCAAACTGCCCATCATGAACTGATGGCTATCTGATCCACTGACCATAGAACTGAACACACACACACCATTCCACTATAAAATAAAAGTGAAATTGAGCCAGAAAACAAATGTGATTGCCCATTGTATTGCCTTCTCTGCTTCATCCCCTCTCCTCATCTCACATCTGTGCCACAAAGCATGTTTTCTAACACAAGTTGGCAAGGGAGAAATAAACGCGGGCCTGGTTTATGGCAGGTCTGCAGGATGTACAACAACGAGCTGGAATTGGGTAGGCTCCATACTAGAATCTGACTCAGGAGTGGCACTGAAAGACAATAAGAAACAGAAATCTTCCCAGTTGGTAAGATTTTGAACAGAATACTTCGTTGTCCACTGTTCGTGGTAGGAGACTTAGTTTCAGGCATGGAAACATCCTGACTCAAGTGCAGTAACTAATAAGGGTCCACCTATCAGGGATGTGGCAAAAGTAAAATTAGAAAACTAGTGACAGGGAGGTTTAGGAAAAACAAGTGAATCGACTTACTAGAAAGGGGAAAAATTTAGGACAAGATGACTGCCAAGTACATGTCCGTCAGCCTCTGGCTCCCACCATTACCTGCCAATGGTAGTGGCCATCGCTGAGCCTTTGACATAGGATCACTTCTCAGGGGAAGAGCTGATGGCACGTGAATTTTTTGCCACAAAATATTTCCTTTTTTGAGATAATGTAATGAGGAAGGCACATGAATTATATGAAAACCTTTCCATCAAGACAGTGTAGCATTTTGTCATCACAGAGATACACACATATTCTGGGCATGGATTTGCTTTTGCTGCCAATGGATCTGTTCAGCACTACTCTTTACAGAAACATTTATCCATTACCATAATAATCCACATTACCTTATCTCAAAAAAGGAAATATTTTGTGGCAAAAAAGCACCATGGGCTCAGTGGTGGTATTTACTAATTTTATCATGTTCCCCACTAGCTATATGTACTTGGATTGATAGAGGAGTAAAATAGTCTGCTCTACCTCAGTTTTGGCACTATTTGTTTAGCAATAACCTTGAAGCCGGGATGTCATCCTTTAACATGCAGTGTGCCCCACCTGTATAGCCATGAGGTACAGATCTAGGCACTAAGGGGTAGAAGTAGTAGTGTTATCTTTTATTATCACAGCAATAACCCACAGAACACAATTTGCTTCTTATTCCCATAATATTGAAGTTGGTGAGTTTAGAAGTCCATTGCCTAAAGGACGAGGGTATCCACCAGGAATATAGTCATAATTCTATTCCTCTGAATTGGAAACGGAAATTTTCTCCCCACCATTGTGGGCTCATTATGCAACTCCCCCAAAAAAAGACAAAACACAGTTACTAAGCTGGGTCTGATGATGGTCCTCATCTGCCAGAAATAAAAATATGTTTGCTGTGCAAAGGAGGGCAAGGAGAAATACATTTGGAACTCAGGAGAGTCACAAATACATTTTTGCCCAATAGTACTGGTCGATGGAAAACTGAAATTGTAACAACATAATTAACAAAAGGATGGGGCCAAGTGCAGTGGCTCACACCTGTAATCACAACACTTTGGGAGGCCGAGGTGGGCGGATCACCTGAAGTCAGGGGTTAGAGACCAGCCTGGCCAACATAGCGAAACCGCATCTCTACTAAAAAAAAAAAAAAAAAAAAAAAAAAAATTAGCTGGGCGTGGTGGGCACCTGTAATGCCAGTTACTCAGGTGGCTGGGGCAGGAGAATCTCTTGAACCTGGGAGCTGGAGTTTGCAGTGAGCCGGGATCGTGCCACTGCACTCCAGCTTGGGCAACAGAGCAAGACTCTGTCAAAGAAAAAAAAAAATAGAAAAGGATGGAAAGGAGTAACATTTGGCAGGAATGAAATTTTGGCCTGATCCACCTGTTAAATAACCTCTGTAGCATCCTGACAGAAAGTAAAAGTAAAAGAAATGAACATTGGAAGAAGGCAACTGTAATTACTAACTAAGATCACATAATAAGTTTTTATTATTATTATTAATGGGGGCATTTCTCCACAACCTTCTATGAAAAATACAAGTGGTGGCTATGTTTACAGATTTCAGATATATAACAGGACTAATACCATCCTGCAATGAAACAATAGCAGATGAGATTTTATGTACTTCTTTTCCTGGGACACTAGCTTTTAATTTGAATAATAAGAATATTCTTATGTTCTTTGACTTTTTCTTGGGTATGACCACTATGAAACCCTGGCGAATCAAATGAAGGGAGGAAGTGGGTGCGTGGAATTTATTTTCTTATCTCCCATGCATCCAAATTATGTGAGTTTGGCTTCGCCCAACCAAAAGCCACTGCTTCTATTTCTGTAAAAATTGTATAGCATTCTCTCCTAGTTTCAGGTGACTGCTGTGTCCCCTTCCCCCTTTGGCTGTTAATGGCTAAATCATTACAAGCCACGGTTGTGGCATTTACCTTGTTCATGATAAGGGGCCCCTTCATAGCTTAAACTCCTTGAATTACTCCCTTTTGAACGTGCCACCTTTCTTCAGTTGTGATATTGACACTGATTTATGCAACTAACTTACAATTTGGTTAAGGAGACATGAGTTATACACATGACACATTCAGAAAAAAATATACATATACGTGTGTGTGTATATATATGCATGCTAAGGGCCAATTGAGTGTAAACTCTAAGTTCTTTTTTTTTTTTTTTTTTTTTTTTTTTAAGACAGAGTCTCACTGTGTTGCCCAGGCTGGAGTGCAGTGGCATGATATCGGCTCACTGCAACCTCTGCCTCCAGGGTTCAAGTGATTTTCCTGCCTCAGCCTCTCAAGTAGCTGGGACTACAGGTGCTCACCACCAGGCCCAGCTAATTTTTGTATTTTTATTAGAGACGGGGTTTTACCACGTTGGCGAGGCTGGTCTCGAACTCCAGACTTCAGTTGATCCGCCCACCTCGGCCTCCCAGTGCTGGAATTACAGGCGTCAGCTACCATGCCCGGCCCCACCGTAAACTCTAAGTTCTATGAGATTTGAAGATACAAAGATACCCCGTTGGCTAAAATCAATACTCTAGATTTCTAAGAAACAGGTTCTGTCGTAGGTGCTGAAATATGTGTGTCCAGTACTTCCCAAGAATAAACCTGACCCAAATTTGAGTACGCTTTTCAAGAGAAATGAGGCATCGCCTACTCTCATTTATTTTAGAGTGACATATGATTAATGTTCTTCCCCATAAAAATGCTAATGTACCAAAATAATCATATAGAGAGCCTTGTGACTTTCTTCAGATGGAAAGATAAAGCTACCTGGAATGGGAAGGTGGTAAATAAAATAATCTTTAATATGCATTTGCTTAACAGTCATCCTGGATAAGGCACAAGCTTCTTTAACTGCAACTAATGGGCACATTTACTCATGGATTGAAACTTCCAATGTTAATTATATTATATTATTTACAAAGAATTTATTTTTACAAATGGCATTTCATTCCAATTTAGTGTACGTTTGGCTCTTCATCGTTTTTATTACTCTGATTTAGAAAATCTCACTGCAGAGCAGATGGAGTTTTCAGCACATGTGGTTTTATATCACAGGCACTTAAAAACATAGCCACAACACAAAGCACTTCCACAATACTGAGATACAACGATTGTGTTTAGATTAATGTGTTATTGTAAAAAGCAAGCTGATTTTTTCCATTTTTAGTTTGTCAGTTCAGACCAGTAGGATTTCCTGAGGATGCTACTTGCAGCTCTGCAGGCCTGTGGTTGATTTTTTTTTTTTTTTCAATTTTCTGCATTTCACTGTCAAATTCCTTGAAAGAATAGTCTCTATTCATAACTTTCTCACTCCCCATTTACATGTCCATCCACTGCAGTCTTGGATTTGGCCCCACCAATTAACTGATTTTACTCCTGTCAAGGCCATCGATGATCTATGAGCAAATCCAACAAAAGCTTTGGAATCCTTCCCTTGTTTGACCTCTGGAGACTCAGCACTACTGATAACCCTGCCTTCCTGTGACTCCCATGCTGCAGCCCCATAGATGACACTGAGCAAGTGCTCAATAAATATTTGTTGAATCAATGATGAAATGAATGCAATTTCATGTCGCCAAAAGACATTAATGTGAAACATTAATGTGAAACAAACATGAAGGTGAAAATAGGCATTTTGCCCTGTTTTATTTCAACAAAAAAAGTGTAACAATCAGAATCTGCTGATAAGAATATTGCTTATCTCGTGAATTTTTCCGCACCTTTTCATTCTTGTCATTCTTGAATACCAACACAAGGCCCATGTCATCTATGAAGCACCTGACATTCCTCCATCCTATCAAACTTAGTTCTACTTATAATTCTATTTAGTATGTGAAATAAATCCTATTTATATTTATATTTACTATGCTCCAAATGGTTCCCAATACAATAGTTGTTTATTGTTTATCACTACACTAAGTTGGAAATACCCAAGACATGGAAACCCGTATTTCTCATCGTATTGCTCTTAGATAATGCCTGGCAGGTATATTTGCTCCACAGCTGTTGGATTAAACTTTAAGGAATAATCCCTTAAATATACAAGGTTCTAAAATATATCTGTAAATCACTTAAGCATATTAGTTCCATTATTCTATATGCTTAAATATTTGAAAGTGAGTCATTTTTTTTCCTATTTAATAGATTAAATGCTTTATGGAAATTTTCAAAGCTGTGAAGTGGGTAGCTGTAAACTTTCTTTTTAGTAACATTTTAAAAGTTTTTAAAGTAAAACTTTGATCTGATATCGTATTTAATTACATTGCTAGGTTAAATACAGCAATTTAAGTGAATAACATTATACGTGTTTTGTGCGAATTACATTTTAAATAATCTTCCTTTTTGAGCATTTTCTTATTTTTCTGACTTCGCTGTTTAAAATGCATTATACTTTATATTGCTTTACTTTCTTTAGGAACTAAACAATACTAAAAATAGAGACAAAGATTCTTAAAACTGACACTTTTAAGGACTCTATTTAGTGACTAGTTGGGGGCAGCAGCCACTCTTACAGATTGGCCTGGTCTTAAAAGATTAAGACATGCCTGTAAAGCTTACTGTAAAAATATTTTATTGTCTTTTATGTCACTCTTTCTCTCATCTTTTTTTTCTATGACATTTACAAAAGGTAAATTTCAATTTTAAAAAAGTTGAAATGTTACATGTTACTTTCTGTGTCTCCCATACATGCTAATTTAGATTGTAATTGACTCCTGTAAAGTAATAAAAAGGAAATCTCCACACCAGAGTATCACACACATAACGTTGAAATTACATGCATTCCCTAGGCAATATCATTGTGTTTCAGTGAGTGCATTAAAGGGGAAAAAAAAGGTCTGGAGCTTGGGAGCTCCTGGCACATTCCACAAGCAAGGTGATAGTGGGAGGGTAAGGTGCATGTAGGACTCTTGAAGCAGAGGTTGGGGGTAGCAGTCAAAATAGTGAGGGAAAATCAAAAACATCTGAATAGCTTACATCCCTCTGCCAAACCTTAACATTGAAGTCATGGGTAGGGTTCCTCCTGGAAATGCAGTGAGGATTAGAGTAAGTCCATGGACAGTAGGATGAGTCTTTGGCTGAGGAAACAGATCACTGAAGTCTGACAATTTAGGTCCCAAAACGTGTGTTGTGTCTTGGGGAACAGTGAAGGACATCCCCCTATAACAAGTAGAGTAGACTAGTGACTAAGCCCTGGCTTTAGGAACAAAAGACACACATTCAAATGTTGGCTCTCCCACTCATTAGCTCTGAGGCCATGTCTAAATCACTGATCCTCTCTGAGTCTTGGTTTCTTTTTTAAATTTTTTCTTTTGAGACAGGGTCTCGCTTCTGTTGCCCAGGCTGGAGTGCAGTGGCATGATCTTGGCTCACTGCAGCCTCAACTTCCTGGCTTAGGTGATCCTCCCACCTCAGCTTCCAGAGTAGGGGGGAACACAGGTATGTGCTACCCCACCACCCCACCCAGTTAAATTTTTTTTTTTTTTGAGACAGAGTCTTGCTCTGTCACCAGGCTGGAGTGCAGTGGCATGATCTTGGCTCTGCAACCTCCAACTCCCTGGTTCAAGCGATTTTCCTGCCTCAGCCTCCCGAGTAGCTGGGATTACAGGTACGCACCAGCATGCCCAGCTAATTTTTGTATTTTTAGTAGAGACGGGGTTTCACCATGTTGGCCAGGATGGTCTCAATCTCCTGACCTCATGATCCACCGGCCTTGGCCTCCCAAAATGCTGGGATTACAGGTATGAGCCACCACACCCAGCCTTTTTTTGTATTTTTAGTAGAGACAGGATTTTGCCATATTGCCCAGGCTGGTCTTGAAATCCTGGGCTCAAGTGATCTGCCCACCTCGCCCCCTCAAAGTGCTAGGATTGCTGGCATGAGCCACAGCACTGGGTGCGTCTTAGTTTCTTCATAAATGATTAGATGCACAAACATTTTGATGATTAAATCACATACACGTACAGCATTTCCTAGTTAACGGCAACATAGGAGCCCAAAGTATGGCAAAAACTATACTTTTTCCTTTCCCCTTTGGAATGCGTCAGACCTACAGCATCATCACAAAAGTTTGTATTACCCGTTTGTTCTGCTCTCCACAACCCCTACAAACAGTTTACTCTCAGACCGAATACATAGATTTTTATTCTTTAGTTAAGAAAATTACCGTATTTGTCAGGAAACGGTCTCTAATTTCTCTCCTTAAAATTTCCTTATAAATGTATGAAGCCTTTTCAATAGGACAGAGACCCAAGTCATCTTAATTCGGGACGGAGCAGCACAATAAGCATGGTCTACATTGAGTATACCCTCAGTTGACTGAAAACTTCATCGACGTTACAGACCACCTTTTATCACCAAGGGAGCACGTCAGTACGTGGTTCAATGCCCGCATTGCTGCTAATCTAGTCTTCTCTTCCCTGAAACCCACTGCTCCTTGTTAATGCTTGCTCACTATGTCTGCCACCACTACTTACTAGTGACCCAAACCAGAAGACACAGAATCATCCTTGACTTCTTATCATTCACCCCATCTGCTTAGCCACTAAGACCTATATATTTCATTGTCTCATCAATTTTAGAGTCTTTCCTCCTTTTTACTGCTTTAACCCTAGTTCCATTGCTCATTATCTCTTGATAGAACATAGAAGAAGCCTTACAGCCGCTCACCGTTTCTTTCCACTCTTAGACCCCAGGTTCCTGCTGTCACAAAAACAATCTGTTCATATGGAAGATCCAATCTTGTCACTCCCTTACTTGAAAACTTCTATTAGTTTTCCTATTAAATGGTAGGAAAATAATTGAAATTCCAAATCATTGATAGAGGTCACTATCCCTCGCTTCTTGCTACCTTCCTTTGTCTCAAATTTTATGGCCCAATTATATCAAGGAGACTTTGGTTCCCTAGGGACACACTTGTGGGTTTTTGCAAATTGTTACATCTGCTTAGATTTTTCCTTCCTAATTTCTTCTCATGCGTAACACTTGTTAACTGTTCAGGCTTGACTCAGATGCTCTCTCTCTCTTCTCTCTCTCTCTCTTTTTCTCTCTCTCCCTTGTTTTAAGAGGTAAGGATCTCACTCTGTTGCCTAAGCTGGAGTTCAGGGGCCTGGATCATAGCTCATTGCAGTCTTCAACTCCCGAGCTCAAGCAATCCTCTCTCATTAACAATCCTCTCACTTCAGCTGGGAACACAGGTGCATGCCATCACATCTGGCTAATTTTTAAAAATTTTTTAGTAGAAATGAAAACCTTGCTATTTTGTCTAGGCTGGTATGGAACTCCTGGCTTTGGATAATTCTCCCACCTTGGCCTCCCACAGCTCTGAGATTACAGGCTTGAGCTACTGTTGTTGGCCAGGGTTTCTCCTTTAGAAAAAATGCTTGCAAATCCCTAGAATGGTATCATTCCTTTGTTCTTCCATAGAATTCTGTGTTGATTAAGATTCAACTACTTACCACACTGCATTAACATGGTTTCTTCATCTGTCAGGGTGTCACACAGTACCAATAATATTTTGAAGAAAAAGGGCACGTCTTAGTCTCTGCACTTCAATTAGCTCCTGCTACCTAGACTGCCAGAACTAACCAGATTTTAAATGTGTTGTCCACCTGTTTATTAAATTCTGAGGGCCATCCCAGTCCCCTCCAGTAATGTATCTCTTTGAAATAGAAAAGCCAGATTTAGATTCTGTAACTCTCAACCAATGAACACTCCTTACCTGTGTATTTCTTTTTCTAATATATACTTTCACAGCATACTTATTGTTAATATTTTCGGGGAAGCTCTCACTGCTCTTCACAATAAATTGTAGCCTCTAAAAATCTTATTTCATGCTGGCATGTACACAGAAATCTATTATAGATATAAATATACATGTACACATATACATATAAATCTCAAGGGTTACAACATCTCTTCTTTAATAAAATAGCTCCACCTAACAAAATATTTCACGTAAATATACGGTTTATTAGAGCAGTACTTTTTGCTCCGTCTTTTATCCTGGCACCTAGACATCTATCCAGAATACAGTAGGCCTTCAATGATATCATTTGAGTGAAAGAGTGAATGAATGAATAATTGGTCTAAGTTATTCACTTTTCTTATAGAATTAAAAATGTCAAATCTGAGGTAGAGAGATTACATTTGCAAATATTGCCCATGAAATAAAATTCACTTTTTGAATGATTCATAGCTTTATAATTTATAATAAAGTAGACTTACTTTAAATCTTGACATATTTTGCCAAAATCAGCTGAAGAATCTGAAACATAGGTAATAAACTCATACTTTGAGTCTTGCCCAGGCAATCTATATGTAGAACTCAGCTGATAATTGGTACGTGATAAAAACTGGATAAATTTTCATCACCTGATTTATTTTTATATTCTCAGCTATTACTAAAACTTGATTCAATAGATATTGAAAATAACTCTTTATGTGGGTTTTATTTTGCTCCCTCTGCAATAGCTTATAAAGTGTGACAGAATGTCCCTAATGGAAATAACTAAAATCAGGTGGCTTTTTATGCATTTTTTTTTTTTTTTTTTAGAAATAAAGGTTTCTGTTTCTTCTTTCCCAGAGAGTCAGAAAAAATTCAGCATCTAATTCCAAAGTGACATAAGGTAACCATTTACTTTCATTAGTTGTCCTCACAAATAATATCTATCTAGCCTATATGTACATATATACACCAAACATGGAATCATGTAAGTAGATGTAAATCTCAACCACACAAAATATAAGCACATGCAAAGATATGAAAGCATGAGGGCAATTTTGAGAGAAAATGAGAAGAAACTGTACTGTAAGTATTGCTCCGGAATGAATAGATTTTTTTTGGTAGATTTTGTATAAAAATATGTCATTTGTTTCCTTTGAAACTAAATCTGATCAACTCACCTTCATATAACCAGTCAGCAATCCCATTAAAAATTATTTCTTCTTTTCCAGAAGATGTCAGTCGCAATGAACTGCTCTTTATATCAGGTTGATAGTAGATATTATTTTCAAAAATATAAATCTGGATCAGGAAATGTGAAACAAACAAAAAATCCAACACGTTAGGATGCCTTTTGAAACTTTAATATTACAGAATGATCACTGAATAGCCATGTTGTATTATTTACGGGCTTCAAGTTGTTTTTATTCAAGGCATATGTTTTTATTGCTTTCAATTATTAATGGCTTTTTCTGTTTTATTGTATCAATATCAAGTTGTCATTTGGAAATTCCATGGCACTTGGTATTGATGCTTTTAAATCCATATTTTCAGCAACAATATTTCAACTACTTAATAATCTCTCTCCATACCACAAAATTGTTTTGGCTTTGAGATAACATTTTGCTTACTCAAGAGACTGATAACTGTAACTATAAGCCATTTTAGTAACACCAACTGACTGTTTGAAGAGCTTCAATTTGGGGTCTTTACTTTTACAAAAATGCATTTGGTGATCAATAAAATAATCTCTAGATAATCTCTCTGATTCTATCTAGCTCAGCTCACAGATTCCCTGATGGTAGAAACGATACTAAAATTCCTTTGAATTGATAAGTGGAACACAGCTTCCAGTGCACCAGTCTTGGCAACTCTTTTGTAAATAGTACGGCAATAATAATAACCTTATAACTGAGAGTTCCAGAGAGAGTCTTAATTTGAACATAGCACAGTCTGCCAAAATAATATCAACAATAGCCCCAACAACAGGAACAATGGTGCAAACTAAACAATGTCACAATGTGCCTATGATATAGATAATTCAGGATAAAATTATTTATAATTCGCTTTACAATGTCTTCAATGCCAAATACTTGAAACTGCTGACCAATGTGGTACTATAATCTTCCAGAGAACCATGTTTCTTTGGTTAGGGGAAGCACAACATTGTCCAGGGCAAGCCAAATTGCTATTTAGATCAAACATTCTACTAAGAAGGTGAAAGATGGCATAGGGCCCCTGTATCCTAGCATGGTATAGAATTAACACACAGTAGCAAATAGAGAAAACACAAGATCTTCCAAGACAATTGTCTGAATACTTACGAGGCCCTAGGTTTTAAATCTTGGTGTGCACAGTGACAAGAGCAATTTGAACATCTAGAACATTTCATGGATATTCTATTTTAATTCTGGTGATTTAACAAGCATTTACAGGTGGGTGTATTTAATTATTAATTCCACCGCTACAACAGGATCTTTTTTATACCACAGGTGAGAATCTCAATATCAGAGTAAGAATTTAAAAATAAATAAAAACAATGAAAGGAGGGTACTGCAGGGTGGTTACAAGCGTGGACTTTATAGCCAGGCAGCCTAAATTTAAAATCCTAATGACCTTGATAACATTCTTAACCTTTCTAAATCTCGGTCCTCTACTTTATAAAATGTGAATAAGGCTCACACATACCTTACAGATCTGTGGTGAAGAGTAAATGAGATGATGAATGCAGAATAAATAGCACATTGGGGTATTACTAAAAGCAGGGTGGACTGTACACAAGATAACCTGGTTCACAATGTTAAGAGTGTTGGAGGCAACAAACTCTAAGTCAAAATGAAGCCTCTACAGCTTTAGCTGATATGTAAATTATCCCAACGTTTTGTCTGGTAGAGTACATGTTATATTAGTTAAATATGTATTAGGAGTAGGAGCAGAACAGTAGCAGCAATAGTGGTAGTATTAATAGTAGGAAGGCAAGGGACATGGAGGAGGAGAGAGCTATTAACAAATAATATTTATTGCTTCCACCTCAGTTAGAAAGTTCTCAGGTGAGACAATGAAATAGGAAATAAGCTTATTACTAAAATTATGTGGATCACACTTAGGCAAAAGTTTGAGAATTACCTCTCAGATTCCCTAACACTGGATAGAAGTTGGATTTAATGACTTTCACGACCCCTGATAACTGAGAAAAAATATGAACTTTGTTCTAGCCAACTAAAGCATAAGCTTTACACCTTTCCAATACTACATCCTCTTGCTTTTCACAAACAGTATACAACACAGGTGCACAACGTTTTCCTTATTTGGAGGAAATTCCTTTCCTGTACCTGAAACTTCTAGTGGGACTTGTGAGTCATAACAGCACAGATCATGCACACCGGGACTACTCAGCACATATTGCTCTTATTAGGAGTGGAGGTGACCTCACCCAAAGTAATATGGTTCTGAATTCTCAGCTTTCTGAAGGGAATAAAATCTAAGTCAAAATAATTAATAAAACCTCCACAACTTCAACAGATGTAAAAATTATCCAAAACTATTGACCAGTAATTACATTTATATTTGACAGACTGGATACTCAGAATCCATATGAAACTGACATCTGCTTCAATGTAGAAGAACAAGCAATATGGAATCAGAATTCTAATGCCATGCCACTGAAAGCTGTAATATGAGAGAATGTCCATAAGATGTTTTCTTCAGTGGATAAAAAATAAGTAGCTGTCTTCATGAAAGTGTGCATTTTTAACATCCTAATCCCTTTTCAATTATCAAAGTTTATCCTTGAGTTGTATTTGTTTCAAAAATAATTGAAAACTCTAACCATTAGTAACAATTTGAGAGCTGCAAGTATCCCCAGGTACTGTCTGAGCACTCTGAGGAAATTAAACTGGACCCCAATGACAATGATCAAGGGCTGCATTTAGATTTAATCACAATGAAAATATGACACACACTAATGCTATTTATCCTAATGTTATTGATTAAACTGCCATAATATTTTATACTATTATTTTCTTCAGTGAGTCGCCTGATATGGTTTAGATCTATGTCCCTGCCAAATCTCATTTTGAGATGTAATCCCTAGTGTTGGAGATGAGGCCTGGTGGGAGGTGTTTAGGTCATGGGCATGCATCCCTCACAGCTGGGTGCCGTCCTCACAATATGAGTGGGTTCGTGTGAGATCTGGCTGTTCGAAAGTGTGTGGCATCCCACCACCCCACTCTGTCTTACTGCTTCTCTAGCCATGTGATATGCCTGCTCCTGCTTTACCTTCTGCCATGAGTAAACACCAGTGAGGCCTTCCCAGAAGCCGAGCAGATGTGTATGCCATGCTTGCACAACCTGCAGAACCTTGAATCACTTAAACCTCTTTTCTTTATAAATTACCCAGTCTCAGGTGTTTCTCTATAGCAATGCAAGAACAAACACAACACCTAAGCAGCACAACAAATAAAAAGGGAAAGCTATTTTACCAGCTAACTCTTCAATTTGCAGAGCCAGTCAACTTCCAGTTTTTCAAAATCAATGGTCTTACTCTACCCATAAAATAATTCAAAATGGGTAAAGTCACCACAAAAAAAAATAGAAGAACAATTGAAATACTATGTGCTGCATTATGTCAAGTTAGGAAATATGTCATAAATGTTTCAAGGGATATTCGAATCAATGTGTTAGTCAATGTTGCTCATTAACAAATGATTGGACCCAATATACATCACTGCTGGGCAGAAGTCTTTAAGAGTCAATTTTTAATTTGCCACCTTCTCTTCTGCCACAACTACCAGCAAATTCACCAGATGCTGGACACCTAGCAGCCTGGATTTCTGGGTGAAGAGCCATTAGGCAGATTCTCTCCACACTGACATACAACTTGTGATGAACATGTGGCAAGAAATGAAAATTTGATATTAAAGTCTATGAAGATCTTGAGTTGGAATGCAGTTACAATATAAATTAGCTTACCATAAGTGATTCAACCTGCGACAATGGCAGATACAAACCTACAATAGCAGCACTCTCACAAAATTTTAGCCATCTTAAAAGAAAATAAAAACACAAAATAAAAGATACATAATTAAACATTAGACTTGTTTTAGCTGAAATATTACTGAAACGCTATTCTGCCTTCACTGATTTGAGTAATTTTCATGACAATTTTAAATTTGAAAATGGTGAATGATTCAAAAATCTCCATGCATTATAATGGTTTGGAAAGATCTGTAAAGTTACACTGGAGTTGGGATAGTATTTGCATTCATTCCACCATGGCTTGCTTTCTGGGAAATAAAATTGTAATTAAGAAAGTATCCCAGATAATGCCTATTGGTGGCAGGGATGCAGTGAAAACTGTCCTTTTCTAATTTAGTTGTGAAATTATAATGTGTTATTCCCATTTGGGAATATAAAATGGCAATTGCAAACAAAACATATTCCATCTCACCAGCAATCCTAAACCTGGGACCTAGCCGTGTAAAAAAAAAAAAAAACAAAAAACAACAACAACAACAACAAAATACACCAACCTGCAGAGAGCAATGAGCAGTGATGTTTATTTCAACTAAAAAGAAGAGTCAAAGTGAAAACTCTTCGTAATTGTCAGAGTCAAGATGAAAACTCATCATAATCGAATGCCTGGATGGATTACTATTCATCCACACCATATAATAACATTCATGACTTGAAGAGAATAAATTTGTGCTTGGAAAAGAATAAAGTTGACTTGGAAAAATTTCACTGAGATATCGTCAAGTGACAAAAGCAAGAGAGAAAACCAAAGAAAAGCAAAAACAACAAAGAATTCGACGGAAGCCCATCTTTGTATACCAGACAATGACAATACTAACATAAATTTATACTATCAGTAATCTCGCCGACACATAAACATTGGAGGTTGTCTGTTGGTCGTCAGTCCCGCTGCTGCCCCTATATGGTTTTTTATTACTGGGGGTGGTTAGAAAGCCTGAAATTTACATTTCTAAGACTTCCTTTCAAAATAGTCTTCTCAGCTTCTTTGCTAGTTGACTTCTAGTTACTTTCTGCAAAAAAAGGAGAGCTCTACCAGTCAGAAACCGGAAGCCTCTGGCAGTGGCTCTGGCACACCAGCCTCAGCAATAGGACCTCAGTGGCAGTGGTGACGGGAGTGTAAGCCCGGGGTCCTGCCTTGATAACGGCAACATGTGTTTACAGGTTCTGCATACCACCACTTTGGCCCCTCCAGCCTTTACGACACTGTTTGTAACAATTATCTGTATTAAATCTCTTCTATCTGGACCACTAGAGTAATATCTGTTTTCCCATTTGGAAACCTTTACTGAAACAGTACAAAAATGGATGACTATAGTTGCTTGTACAATATAGCCATGCACTGCATTACAATGTTTTGGTCGGTAACAGACCACATACATAAGGGTGGTCCATGAGATTTTAATATTCTATTTTTTCTGTGTCTTTTCTACGTGTCTATATGTTTGATACAAAGATACATACCGTTGTGTTGCAGTTGCCCACAATATTCAATATAGTAACATGCTTTAGAGGTTTGTAGCTTAGGACCAATAAACTGTACCATATAGCCTATTCCTAGTAGGCTATACAAAATAGGTGTGTATAGATATACCCTATGATGTTTGCACAACGACAAAATTGCGTAACGACACGTTTCTCAGAACATATCCCCATCAAGTGATACATGACTCTATTTTACAAATACACAAAAGCATGAAGAGACTATGGAAGGATCTGTGTTTGCCTTTTAATATGGGAGGAGGTACAGTGGGGTACAGAAGTGGAAAGCAGGTAGTCAAGCAGAAAAGGCTAGGAAAATATTGCAAAGAGTTAAAAAAATTGTGTGATAAGAACACAACAGGAAATCTACCCTCTTAAATCTGTAAGCGTACAATGAATTATCATTGACTGTAGGTATAATGTTGTCCAGCTGATCTCTAGAGCTTACTAATCTCACTCAACTGAAATTCTGTGTCGGTTGATTAGTAACTTCCCATTTTCCCTTCTCCCTCAGCCCCTTGCAATCACCATTTCACTCTTAAAATCTATGTATTTGACTATTTTTGATTCCCCATAAAAGGGGAATCATGCAGTATTTGTCTTTCTGTGCCTGGCTTATTTCACTTAGCCTAATGTCTTCAAGGTTCATTTGTGTTGTTGCATATTGCACAATTTCCTTCTTTTTAAAACCTGCATAGTATTCCATTGCATGTATATGGCACATTAACCATTTATCTGTTGATGGACATTGAGACTGTTTCTACATCCTGGCTATTGTGAATAGGGCTGCAATGAACATAGGAGTGCTAATAACTCTTTGAGATTCCAATTTCAATTATTTTGAATAAATACCCAGAACTGGCACGGCTAGATCATAAGGTAGTTTTATTTTTAATTTACTGAGGAACTTTCATGCTGTCTTCGTATAGTACCTGGATTATTTTGTATACTGAACAGTGTATGAGAGTTCCAATTTCTCCACATTTTTACCAACACTTTTTTTTTTATAATAGCTGTCTTGACAGGTGTGAAGTGGTATCTCATTGTAGTTTTGATTTGCATTTCCCTGATGATTAGTCACTATATTTATTGTTGTACATGACTTATACAAGTTTATGTATGTAAATTATACATGTTTATGAATAAAGTACCAACATTAATTTTTGTGATAATATACATATGATGATATGGTTGCTCTAAAGGTTAAATTTGTACAAAACCATAGGGCAGCTTGAAGGCTAGATCACATAGTTTGAACCAACTTTTTTCAGTTATTGACAAATGTAAATTTCTTATGACCCAAGAGTGTTTAATCAGCTTTAGGAAAATATTGGGGAAAATAATTGGTGATAGTTACAGAATAGGTGATGGACATGGGGGACTGCTGGCAGAAGAATGATTCAGATATTCTGCCTAACAGGAATTATAATTGGCAAAATGGAGTCATGATTCCTAACATATGTCTTAAATGTACATGCCTAAAATGTTTGTGAATTCCAATGCCAATGTTTTAGTATCTCCCACTTGAATCCTAAGCTTCACCTTCCAGAGTCAATCACTGCGGCTCTTTTTAGCACTGGTTGCATATCTTTCAAAGCCTATGAAGTTCTCACCTTCTTCCCTGCCTAATAGAACTTGAACATTCCAGCAACCATATCCTCAGCTCTTTTTGGCTCCCGGCCCACCACCCAAATTCCAGCCTTACCATGGCCCCTGACAAAACACTGGCTTCAAAATTTATCTGGAACCTTAGACCTTTTGTTTTATGAGGTAAAAATTTGATTTCATTTAATTTTTTAGTCATGCCAGTTTATCAATGTCTTTAAGAACACATCTTAGAATAAACTAAATATTTGTCTTTTAATTTGATGTAATATTGTTTTGGAAATAAATGAGACACATGGAAATTCTTCAGTGAAACAGAATCACTATTAGGTTTCTATTTCACATAGAAACCTCCAACATGCTATATTTTATTTCAATAAATAAAAAAGTATTATCATATAGACCATATTAAAACATATAAGTACATTTACAGTTATTTTTTATCAGAGATATTGTAAGAATAAGACACCTTGAATTCCATCATCTACATAAGCTGTTGCAAAACCTTTATATTTGTTTAATAAATATAAATTTTTGAAATATTTAAGACATATTTTTAGATGGATCATCGAATATTGAAGAAAAGTTTCCTCCTCTAAGCAATATGCTGCATTTTAGTCTAGAAACCATCTGGAGGAATTACTCTTTAAAATCTTGATGTATAAATTGATAAATGAAAAGTGCTTATTTTGATTTATGTCACTTACATTCTTTTGGTAGTAGGAGTATATATAAGCAAACACACACACAAAATATTTTGGTATTATAATTAGAATGGCTAAAATGAAAAAGAGAGCCACTAATAAGTGTTGCCAAGGATGTGAAGCAATTGGAACCCTCGTGCACTGCTGGTGGGAGAATAAATTGGTACAATCAATTTGTCAATCCTTTTGACAGTTCTTACCAAAGCTGAGCATAGGTCTGACTCAGCAACTCCACTCTAAGGTATATACCTAACAGAAACTTATATGGGTAGATAGATAGATTTCTGTATCAAAAGACGCATACAAAAATGTTCTTGGTAATGCTATTTGTGATAGCCAATAACGATGTTACAAATCAGGATAATGATTATCTTTGTGGGTAAATAGTTACTGGTAGGTGTCAGAATACAGGTTTTTCAATAGTGTGAACGATGTTTTGTTTCTGCACTTGGCACCATGCACATGGAAGTGTTCACGAGGATCAGTTCTGTATATTTTGTTGCATGCATGCTAATATAAACTTAAAGCAAAAGGAAAAATGTTATATAGAATATATATCAGCATTTATACTTCATTAAGAATATTACCATAAAGACTTTTATCAAAATTTACTGAAAGCCACAATGCAGCATTCAACTTTACTTTTTATAAAATTCTGTTTCCATAATTTGTCAGTATACAATAAATTCTGTGTGTCCAGTTATATAATGCAAAGCAAAACTATGAGCACAAATTAAACAGTTTGATTACCTCTGACATTTTGGTCTTAAATAAATCTCTCTGTTGGTTATAAAGCACTGCTTTCATTTCTCTATGGGACCATCTCTGAGACATAGAACAACTCATTCAAATCACTCATGTCACCTTTGCATCAGTACCTGACATTCTAGAAATAGAATCACTATCAGGAAACTCTCATCCCTTGACATTTGCAATTATTCATATCAGGAAGCCCTTTCAAAGAGTTCTTATTTCTTAAAACCTTTGCAGCACTTTATGCATTTTCAAAGAAATGAAATATGTCCCTTTGTCTTAAATTCATAATTATGTAAGTCACTTACCAGTCCTAAAGCCTTATCTTTTAATCCACGCTTTTTAGGAGATAAATGGATACCAGATAAAAGTTAGCAAAAAGACCAACTCCAATAAATGGAATATAAGGAATATAATAACAGACTTTCTCTTGGCTATGTCAGTTCATAAAACTTATTTAGCATAAGAGAAGACCTCGTGATGAATAAATCATTTTGGTAATTGAAAACATTAAGAAAAATATTTACAGGCCCCGAGAAATAAACTGGAACCCACAGGAGACAAACAGTTATCAATATTATAACTGTTATTTAAAAATCCCTTATGTGTTGATTTATGCGGGTCGAAGTGCTAGAAGATGGTTTTATCTAGTCATTGCATATCCATTTTCTTCTCTACCCAACTTTCTCCTTTTTCACTTTTCCTTTGCCACCCCATTGTCATGCCTTATTTTCCTTCTTCGAGCCCATTATCATAAAGCAAATATGTATCAGGCACCTCCTATGTGCTAGGCCCTGTGCTGAGCCTTGAGGTTATAAAGATTAAAAAAATACAAGATCTTATTTTATAATGTGACTTTTCATTAAAACCATACACAAATTAATACAGATATGGAGAATAAGGAAAAATAAAACCAATGGATGAGGGCATTAATTTAGGAGAAAATGTTACTGCCTAATATGACTGATTGCAATAGAACTCAAAATAGAAAATAAAAATAAAAGCACGATTTTTAGTAAAGAAAAAAATACAGAAAAAAAGAGATCTAAGAAATGTAGAGATAGTCAATAGTGAATGAAATGACAGCTACGTTATCTGAAAGATAACTTTTTTCATGGTTCTGTAGAAAAATGAAATTTCTATCACAGAGACATGAGATCTCATCCTGACAGTGTCAATTGCTCTTTGTAATATTTGGGCAATCGTGTTACTTCATCTCTCTGAGTCTGTTTTCTCATTTGTAAAGATGTGATATTAATACTTCTCATGGTTGTCTACAGGTTTAAATCAACCAAAATCAGTTCATGGATATTGGTCAGTGTACCTGTACATAGATGTTTGATTTTTTTTTTTTTAATTACTGGAAGCTAGTAGTAAGTAATTTGCTAGAAAAGATAAAAGATATAATTACAATTTAGAAAGAATCAGACATTTTTATCCAGTTACGCTGAAAATAAGTATATGCATTTAAAGATGGTAAATTAATGACCACGCACCCATTTTCTCTATACCGGCTACCTAGTATACATTTTTTTCCTCTTATTTGGCTACTCCACATCTGACTTCCCTTTCTATTTTGGAGGATCCTTGTATTATGTGAGTATCAGTGGAAAGTACAACCCAGTCTTTAACCATAAGACAAAATCCAGATAAAATATCCTTAGGTCATGCCCCCACCCAGGACCCTGAATTTTGAGATAATAAAACTGTAATTGAAAAATTATTCGCAAGAGCAACAGCAGACCCTCAGCATCCAGCAAGGGTGATGTGGTGCATGCCCATTCACGTGGCTTCCAGTTGCAGCAACCTCATCAGATTTTCCTGAACACATTCCTATGTTCAAAAACGTGTAGGCCCTCCTAACTCCTGTTCATTTTCCAGTCCTGAAATTCCAACTTTCTCTTTGATTCTGAGAACTTATATACATACATATATATTTTTTTTTTGAGAACTAACATTTGTTGGTTGCTTCTAAGCACTCACAAAAACCTAAGAAGTGGTTAAAATTATCCTTTACAGATGAGGAAACTGAGGACAAAGACATTAAGTAACTTGCCCAAGTTTACACAGCTGGTAGGTAATGGTGAAACTTAACACAAATACAGGCAGCCTGGCTCCAAAGCCTGTCCTCTTATTTATTTATTTATTTTTTATTTATTTTTTATTATACTTTAAGTTTTAGGGTACATGTGCACAACGTGCAGGTTACACATGTATACATGTGCCATGTTGGTGTGCTGCACCCAGTAATATTTTTAATGAATTCATTTTCTCTTGAAGTAAGCCTGAGTCTATTTCTGTTGCTTACTCCCAGGCATCCTAATTGGAAAGTGACATGCAACAGTTTAACCTTCAAAGCCTCAATGTTAAGAAAGTCCTTCACTGTCATTTCTGTTGGTAGTGAGCTGAATTTACTACTCTTTCTTCCCAGGTAGGTGTCCCTCCCTCTCATTCATCCAAAGATTAACAAAAGGGATCCTGCATATGCATTTCAGCCTCTGACGTTACAATAATTTGTTTTTACATTTGTATTGTAACTCTTTGTATTTCAAATGGGGATTCCAAAATTCTTATAACAGATTCCATAAAGAAGAATGAGGGACACTAGAAGAAATTCTCATATGCTTATCAGTGGGTTTGTGCCTAATGCTTTTCCAGTTTATGGGCAGGCTGATAAGAAAACAAACTGAAAAATGCAGAAGGTGGGACTAGGCTTGGTTATCTCCCATGCACATTTTTCCCACAGCTTGACTTTTTATACTACTTCATAAAATTTCAAGGCACCTTTGGCCACAAATGAATAAATAGTGTTTGTTTGTTTGTTTGTTTTTGCAATACAGAAACATCCAACTTTTTTTTTACTATATTCTTCAAACACAATGTACACCAGTAAAATAATCATAGAAAAGCGAACTTGGTTCCAAAATGCCCATGTCCAGAATTAATTTACTCCTGTTAGTATTCTTATGAACTTAAATGTAATTGAACCCATGATGACTGAGGATGAGAATCACTTAAATTCAAGCATAACTTAGGATCCGCAATAAAAGGCAGTTAGAATACTTCCCTGAGTCTTTTTCTCCCTATGAGATTCTATAGAATTGGCTATCCCTCGTACTTCAGTTAATCTGTCTGTTACAATGGGATACAACTACATACTACCTATGATGTATACATAACTACATCACAATATGCCCT
Source organism: Homo sapiens (assembly GCF_000001405.40). NCBI lineage: Eukaryota > Metazoa > Chordata > Mammalia > Primates > Hominidae > Homo > Homo sapiens. The sequence goes on along the minus strand of NC_000002.12, from coordinate 115,716,344 downwards.
AATAACTTTTAATTTGGGGCTGAAAAGCATGTCAAAAAGTATTCAACAGAGTAATGCCTAATTCTCAGTAATTCATGTTGGGTTGTTTGCAATAAATTATTCCCTGTTGGTCCTCCCTTCAGTTCTAACTGCATTTTCCAATATAACAAAACATAAACTGTCTGCTAGTGTTTTCATTGATATTGTCCAATTCAGTGACAACAACAATACTGGGTTACTACACGTTCCACAAAGAAGAAAAACCAAATTCTTCAGCTGAAATTACCAGCAAAGTATATGGTTTAGATTAGATCTCTTAATCCTTCTAAAAGGCAGCTTCCGCCTTAGTGAACCGCATTCACTTGCCATTGCATAAATATGGATCAATGTCTGTATTTGTATTATTTGCTTGTTCATTGGAGAAGACATTGATACACAAAACAGAAAAGATACCTTGGTCAGAACAGCTAGGTAGACTTCCTGGAAAAATAGCATTTTTGTCAAATGTTAATGCCAAATGATATTGTAAGTTTCATATCATTTAAAGAAACATGTAAATATATATTTGCTATTTGGGAGAAATAGTTTTAAAATGTATTAATAAAGAAAATGTAAAGATAGAAGAAAAAAGAAAAGTGTGCATGTGTACAATTGTGCGGGTATGCACGGAGACGTGATGATTATACAGTTCACTCATTCCTCTACAGTTTCACTGCAGTCCTAATGTGTCTGTGAAACAATAGCGACTAAGTCACAGCCCCTGTTGCTGAACAATTCTCAATTTAACATGAGAAGGATAAGGAAGAGCTAACAAATTACCAAATATGGTATGGTATGTTTATAATATAGCGAAGCAGAAAGTGTTGTTGGAATCTGAGGGAATGTCATGAAACAGTCTGAATCTGGTTGAGAGATGGGAGGGTCAAAAAAAGGCTTCAGATGAGCCATGGTATTTTAGCTGGGCCAACAAGTTCCAGTAGATTTTTCTTTTTCTTTTCTTTCTTTTTTTTTTTTTTTTTTTTTTTTGAGACGGAGTTTTGCTCTTGTTGCCCAGGCTGGAGTGCATTGGCGCGATCTCGGCTCATTGCAACCGCCACCTCCTGGGTTCAAGTGATTCTCCTGCCTCAGCCTCCTAAGTAGCTGGGATTACAGGCATGTGCCACCACGCCCAGCTAATTTTGTGTTTTTAGTAGAGACAGAGTTTCTCCATGTTGGTCAGGCTGGTCTTGAACTCCTGACCTCAGGTGATCCGCCTCCCTCGGCCTCCCAAAATGCTGGGATGACAGGCATGAGCCACTGCGCCTGGCTTTTCATAATTTTTTTTTTTTTTTTTTTTTGAGACAGAGTCTTGCTCTGTCTCCCAGGCTGGAGTGCGGTGGCGCGATCTTGCCTCACTCCTACCTCTGCCTCCCAGGTCAAATGGTTCTCCAGCCTCAGCATCCCAAGTAGCTGGGACTACGGGCGCCTGTCGCCATGCCTGGCTAATTTTTGTATATTTTTAGTAGAGACAGGGTTTCACCATCTTGGCCAGGCTCGTCTTGAACTCCTGACCTCGTGATCCACCTGCCTTGGCCTCCCAAGGTGTTGGGATTATAGGCTTGAGCCACGGCGCCCATCCAGTAGATTTTTCTAAGCAGAGAAAGGGCTATTCCAAGTAGAGAAACTAGTATGAGAAAAGGCAGATCAAGATGACACATGTTGAAAATGCTGTGTATAGAAAGAACCCAAAGGAAAGAAAGGCAAATGTTAAGGCAAAGACATGTATGCTAGAGAAAGAGTGGGGTCAAGATACAAATGTAAAAGAATTATTGGAGAACAAGAGAGATGTAGGGAAAACGCACAGAGATAAGAGGGAGACACTTTCTTAAAAATTATTCACTGTTTACTTTGATTATTCTGAATAGTTCCACCTAAAAACTGGCTAGTACAATACTGGTCCAATTTTGGAGATACAATGATGGATAAAGAGTCAAGACATTTAAAAATCATGATCCTAAGATCTTTTGTTTTATTTTTAATTGATCTGGAAATTATTTTCTTTGCATTCTGCTCTAGTGGAAAAGCAGTAAGTGAACAGGATAGCAACAATCTCAACATTACTGTAATATAACAATTAAGGTAAAAGGATATCTCAAACTGAACCTCCAAACACCTTTCCCATATGAGTCTCCTACAGGTATTAATACAGTAAACAAACAACATGTGCTCAGTGAAAATGGACTGTTTTTCACATCAGCCTTTGGTGGAAGGTGGGTGTGGTTCTGTGTGATACTTTAACATTAGAATAGACTAACCTGAAATGAATAGAAGCAGAAAAGCAGATGTTTAGACAGCTAGACTTTACAGGAAAGTCCAAATTCAGTCTTCAGTGATGACTCGGCATCATAACTCTTGAAAAGATTTAATGTGACTGAGGAGAAAATGAGCAGTGGACTTCTGGGGCAGGTGTCACCAGTGCATAAACATTCTGGCTTTATAAATGGATGATGGGATAAGAAGAGATTAAAAGAGATGATGGTTTGACATGAACTAACTTTCATAAAAGTCTCTCTGAAGAGACTTGAAATTCCTGAGAATGTAAAAGTAATCCAAAGAGGGGAAAAAGGAGGAGGAAGACAAAAAGGAGGATAATGAGAATTGAGGAAGTACACCCAGATTCTAAGTTATCTGCACAGTCTCTCAGGTTGCAGTGCAAGTCTCCTGTCCAGAATCCTTCATCACATGCTTCAAGAAATATGATGCTTTGTAATAGCATTTATTCTAGAACAAGGAGCTTCAATGAATCCCATCATCACAGCAACTAAGTCTCCCTGACACTAGGCTTAGTGACCCCCTTCCTCACACAGACAATATCACATAAATCTTTCATGTCATGTATTCCTGTTCACACCAGTCATCCCCAGATTGTAAGCCTGTTGCCACTAAAAATTGACCTTCCATCAATTTATCATTCCCATAATAATGTTCAATAATCCCTGGCTTTTTATCCATTCAGCATTCCAAAACCTTTAACTCTACATTCTCAAACTGTCACTCCATAACCAACCAACTTACCTCTACTCTCAATTCAATCTCTTCTGAGTGTTCCTTCTCCTTCTTTGCCATAACTGACGTCTAGGTCTTCCTTTATGACTCAATTTCCAGCTGCCCTCTCTCATGACTGCTGCTTATCAACTCACACCTCAAGATGCTCATTGCTACCTATTTCTTTTAATTATTTTTTTAATTTTTTTTACATCAAAACGTTTCTACTTCTTCATAAAAAAATCATTCTCATATGAGGTTCATTCCAATCAGATTTACTACTTTTTGGCTCCTCATTGTAGAAGAGTGATTTTCTAAAAAAAAATTCTAATAGGCATCATGTCAAAAAAATTTGTTTTCATGGTCTAGAGTGGTGTTCAACACACTAGGATACATAGGCAGAATCTAGTCTGTTCCTCTTTTTGTATAGCATGCAAAGTAAAAATGGTTTTTGTAGACCAACATTTGCAATGGACTTGATGACAGGGAATACTTACATGCAACCTGCAAAAACATATTTCATTTTTTTCATTTGTAGGCTTGTATTACATAACATTGTACTTATTATTTTATTTTGAATAACTACAATAAAATTTTGTAGCGGTTTGATTTCTATCTTATTGTAGAAGCACCTACATAACTTTGGTTTTGTCTCTTGTCTTACAAAGCCAAATATATTTACTATATGATTCTTTACAGAAAAAAGTTGCTGATCCCTAGTGTGGGGTAAAACAACTATGAAACATTGTGTTAAATAAAATTAAGACAGTTTCTTTATATATATATATATATATATATTTAATTCAGGACTCTTCAAAGCTATTTCTAATTTCATTGCGAATGTTGAGAACTAGGATACTATATTGTATTTTCTAAATTAGGGGTCCCTAACCCCCAGGCCATGGACCAGTCTGTGGCCTGTTAAGAACTGGGCTTCACAGCAGGAGGTGAACCATGGGCTTCATCTGTGCTTACAGCCACTCCCATCGCTCACATTCCTGCTTGAGCTCCGCCTCCTGTCAGATCAGTGGTGGCATGAGGTTCTCATAGGAGTGTGAACCTTATTGTGAACCATGCATGTGAGCTATCTAGGTGGCATGCTCCTTATGAAATCTAATTGTGTCAGTGTCTCCCATTACCCCAGATGGGACTATCTAGTTGCAGGAAAACAAGCTCAGGGCTCCTACTGATTCTGCATTATGGTGAGTTGTATAATTGTTTCATTACATATTACAATGTTATAATCATAGTAATCAAGTGCACAATAAATGTAATGCTCTTAAATCTCCCAAAACCATCCCTCCCCTGCCCCAGTCCATGGAAAAAATTGTCTTCTACAAAACCAGTGCCTGGTGCCAAAAAGGTTGAGAACTGCTGTGCTAAATGCATTAGACAATGATTCCAAAAAAAAAAAAAAAAAAAAAACCAGACCATTTTATAGGTCCAATATTCTAGGAAAACTCTTAAAAATGCATTTTAAAGTATATCTTCTTAAGTAAAAATGAACTAATATATGGATCACTATATGTAACCTTAAGAACCAATTATTTTTACAGCTTTCAAATTGCATAACACTTTGGGATATGTGTCAACTCAATGTCAGCAAAGTCTAGCAGTAAGAACAAACTCATCTTTAAGAAGTTATTTCTGATACCTTTATCTTCTCGGCCTCCTCACATTGCCTTGTTTCAATCAAAATCCACAAAAATCACTCTTATTCATATTATTTACCAACTGTGCATCTTTTTCATTCCCACACCTATATAGGATTAGCACTTCAAATCTCCATTGAAAGGTCATTTCAATGGACTCCATCTCAGACAATCACCCTCCTCTTGAATAAATCCATCCTGAACACAACAGCTAGAGTAATCTTAAACTCCATTTTATGATGTACAAGAATCCAGAATGACTCTCAATTTATAATCTCTGCAAATACGTAGCCACTGTAGCATTCCAGGTCAACCAAGACAATCCCATTCTTTATGTGTATCCCTCATTTTTCTCATCTTTAATTTCTCTAACAGTACTTACCAAATTGTCCCTAATAGTCTTTGCAAGTAACTTTTTTCTTTTGTAAGGTCTCTATTTCTTTTCTGCAAATTAATGTATATAACTTTCAAACCTGAAATTAAGAAACTGTGGTTCTAAGACAGCGAATCCACTATTCACTCCCCTCACCCCACAGAAAAAGAAAAAACATGTACTCACCTAGCTTTATCTGCATGCTATTGTGCTATACGAATTTCAGTTTTGCCCAAAGTATTTCTTGACTTATCACCTCATGCTTCTAGATTTTAAATATCTCAGCAGTTCAGTTCTTTCATTTTTTTCCAACTGAATTCTCCAGAGTGACTAACACATTACAGATTCTAAAAGCAAACTTCTTATTCTTTAAAAACTCAAGTCCTGTTGTTTCTTTGTGGAAATATTTTCCACATTTTATTAACTATATTATTGAAGGTTATGACCTTTGGGAGTAACACAGGCTACCAACAAAACACAGGCTACCAACAAAACAGGATTACTTAATAAATATTTTATTAACTGCATGATTAAAACTAGATTAGCTACCAAGCGAATACATCTTAGGTTTTGGGAATAAGAATAAAATAACCTCAAATTTTAAAAGCTCATAATGTTCTAGAAAAAAGTTGAAAAATTTTAAGTCAATCATTTTGAAGGCATTTTATAGTGACTTGTTTCAACTTTTCAAATGTATTCGTAATCCAAATGTTAGAAAAAAAATGAACATTGTTTATGAATCCATGATGCTATTATTGTTTGATGAAAATAAACTACCTCATTTACCACATACCCTTAAATTCTAAAATTATCAGGCAATCTGATTTTTATCAGTAACTAAAAATTCAAAGTGCCTTGTGAAAATTATTATTAAGGAAGATAATAATCTCATGTAAAACATAGAAATGTTACAAATGTATAATTTTCTTTCTCCCTCACCATTTTTGTCGTTATAGTTGTCACACAACATACAGACATACATACCCCCATACTGTCATTTTTGCTTTTAACAGTAATACGTTTTATACAGAAATTAAGAGGAAATTTAGTGGTTTATGTTTACTCATATACTTAACATTTCCAATGTTCTTCTTTCATTCCTGAAGATCCGAGTTCCCCTATCATATTATTCTTTCTCACTGAAGAGCATATTTTGTAGTGTGGGTCCCTTATTTTTCTTTAGTCAGAAACTGTCTTTATTTCACTTTGATTCCCCATGGTTCTTAATGAGAAGTCTGTAAGCATTCTAATGTTGGTCCTACTTATATGTTGTGTTGTGTCTCTGTTCACTTCCACAGTTTCTCTTTATCTTTAGTTTTCAACAGTTTCGCTAACATTTACTTTTGAGGGATTATCCTTGAATATATTGTGTTTGGAGTTCACTGAGCACCTTGAATATGTAAATTTGTGTTTTTTATTGCATTTTGGAATTTCTATCATTTTTTTCAGATATTTTTCCTGCTCCATTCTCTCCTTTTCTTCTGAGATTCCAAGCACCATCTGTTAGAGATTTGCAGTTTTCCTACAGGTCCCTAGGGGTCTGTTTTTTGTTTGTTTGTTTTGTTTTGTTTTTCTCTCTTTTGTAAATTTCTTAATTTTTTCAGATTAAATGTTGTTTATTGATCTGTGTGCCACAGACTCTGTTCTCTCTCATCTTCATTCTGCTCTTTATCCCATCCAATTTTTTTTTTATTTTAAATACTGTTTCGAAATTCTACAAGTGTCCATTTTCTTCTTTTTAATATTCTTCGTGTATCTGTCTATGAAAGGTAGGATATATAAGATATATAAATATATCAATAGATTTAAGATAGGTGTATTTGTATGCTGATATATCCTATCTTTTTATTCCTTTTGCATTTATTTTTATGAAGGTCAGGAAATACAGTTAGAATAGCAGCTTTAAAGACTTCGTCGGAAAATTCTGTCATTTATAGTTGAAGTTCAGTCAAACACTTGCCTGAGTACGTGCACACCACTAGTTACCCCTGCTCTGACTCTCTCAGGGATTCTTCTCATTCTCTGGCAGTTACAGCTACTCAAGGGCTCTTTCTCTTGGTCTTGCCTAAACGACAGTCGGATTTCCTATCAGAGATTCAACTTACTTGATACCCACACTCTGCCTCCACTACAGTTGCCCTTAGGCTAAAACTCTAAACAAAACTAACAAAATGGAGGAATCCTATTTTGTGAGCTATTTTCCTGTAAATTTCACTCCCTTCGAAAATCTGCCTGGTTTTGTTCAGGCTTGAGTCCTTGGGTAGCTTTTTATGTGTTGGTTTGTTTTAAGGTTTTGTCAGAGTTTATTGCTGAATTTGCGTGAAGATTGATGTGTGAGCAATTGCTCTTCTATATCAGGGTTGTAAAACCATTTATTCAATTTTAGTCAAAGTTCTTTTCATTGTGATTGCTCTGAAGTGAAAGGTTATTTTCCAGTACATTCTTCATCATATCCAGGTGTAGTATTTTTATTTTTCCTTTTCAAGAAGAATTTATTAATGTCAAGTAAATTATATAATTTTAAAGGGTGAAGTGGTTTATATCTAGTTTTGATTCTAATTCCAAGAATAAGTGTAAAGATCTGAATTATTAGTATGTTTACAAATGTCATTATGCTTTCAGGGACAGGTTTTTATGTTAGAGATATAAAATTGGTTAGAAGATGGTGAAAATTTTCCCCAAAAAAAGCTCTTTTGGAAGATACTGAATTTGAATAACATAAGGGAAATCAAAAAAGTTAGTGGACAAGCTTTGTTTTTCTTAAATGAACAGCCAACTTGACATTATTCACCCCCATATCCCAGTTTAGTTCTGGGATGTTAGAAACAGTGATTAGGATAATTTTGAAAGAATTAAGAGTTGAGTACCAATTTGTAATATAATGATCTTTGCATTCTACTTCCATTCCAGAGCACATCAGAAACAAATAAGATACTTACCACGGTCTTTTAATAGCCAACTTCAATATTATTAGCAAGTCTTTTTTACCAAGTAGAATTAAGGTCCAAGTCACAGTTGCTTTTTAAATTCAGCTTTAAATGTCTAGTCCTTTATGTCCCTTGCTCCTCATATTCTAGTTCCTCTTCTAACACTTAAAACAATATGTAACATAATAACATAAACGTTAAAGACCATACCAACATTATTCTACTACTCTAAAACAATAATTATTTTTACTTTAACATATTGCTTTCCCTATTTTGTCTCTGATTATGTTTGACACGTGTAACACACGTAGAATCTCATGCCATTGTATGTGATCATTGCTGCTGACATACACTTCAGAAAATAAGATATCTGCATCTATATCTATATCCATATATATAACAATTTGCCACCTTTTTCTTTACTTTGGAAGTTCCTGATGTGCTTTAATTTTCATATGCTATGTTAAAAGTAATCAATTCTGTAATTTAAGTTTCATCTTGTTATTCATAATTCTGGAAATATTTAAATAATATATAGATATTTTTGTTTTGGGGGAATGTTTTACCTATTGTAATAATAACATGCTAAGTAACAATATGGACCTTTCTTTTATCACTGGATAGCACTGCTTTCCTGCACATATAGAAGAATCATTAATTTTAATGGCTTCTGAAGAAGTCACTATTTTATTATTTTATGTACCATAGTTTATTTTACTAGTCCCATAATAATAATTTAAGTTGTGTTCAGTCTTCTATTTTGTTTTTAAAATTATAAATAGTGTTGCAATGAATTTTCTCAATGTATGTCTTGAGACACATGTGTAATATATTTACAGGACAAAATCTACATTCAGAATCACTAGATGTATAATACTATATTACTTATTAGATATATTCGTATTCCAATAAAAAATGTGGAGAGAGTGTGTGTGTGTGTGTGTGTGTGTGTGTGTGTGTGTGTGTGTAAAATTTGTTTGTTTCTTACTTAATTCCTTTATGGTCATAGAATATAATTTGGTATGAATTCAATTCTTTTATATTTATTGATACTTGTTTTATGGCCCAGTGTGTGCACTTAAACATGTCAAGTATTCTGTAATTATCACATATAGTGTTCTATAAAAGTCGATTATGTCAATTTGGTTGATAGTGTTAATCAAACCTTTTATACCCTACTGATTTCCTATCTACTTTTTTCATGTTTTACTGTAAGAGAAATGTTGAAATTACCAGCTAAAATTGTCAGTTTGTCTATTTCTTTGTGTTTCTCAAAATCTATTAAAGTGTATATTTGCTTTCAATCCTTTTCTGGCTGTGGATTTCTTTTTACTCTATGTTCCGTTGAGATTATAGATTAGGCTGTAGCTGATTAATGTAACATAAAAATTGTACTGTCTTTTTTTATTTTCATTTCTTTGGTTGTTCTTAAGGAGGAGAGCAAGCGGAGAGCTCCTCTACCACACCACTTGAAAGATGTCTGAAGTTATTTCTGACATGAAGAGTCTCGACATTAATGCAGACCACAGTTCCCTTTGGGGAGTTATCTGCATGCCATTTAATAAAACACAGTAAATCACTAAAGTACTGAACTCTGCCTAATTGGGATCTTTTAACCTCAGGGGTTATGTAAGATGGTTCACATCTTGTGGTAGATACTATTATAATCTTATCATTTTTCTTAAGTTTTTGTTTAGACTGCTGATCAAATGAAACTTGACATATCACTCTAGGTTAACCCTGTCTGATCAAATGTAAGAATAATAGGTATGGTGTAAGCGCTTAGTTGCAATGATACAGAAAGAGTCTAATATTCAGGAACTTTCACTAACTGTCATCTACATTGCTCTTTCATTCAAATAGTTTCCTTAGCAGGAACTGTCTAAAGTATACATTGTGTATATTAGATTATGCATGACCCAGGTGAACAGTTAGAAAATCTACAATCCCATGATTTTGATGGTTCTTACTCCACAATTTAATATTTAATATTATGTTATGAGCAGGATGAAACAAGACGTGCCACAGAAATTGTGATTTACATTGGAAAACAAGAGAAAAAAGATAAAGTCATTACAAATACCTTATTATTTCTAAATGACTAAAATATTGCCTAAATATGAATTAAAGGAAGTTTGTGGGATTGCTCACCTGATGTGTAGGTGATTTTTACACAGCAATGCAAATTAATTTTCCTTTAAATTATATAACATAATTGCATATTTGTCCCACATACCTGCACAATGTTAAGGCATTTTATTTATGTGACATTGTATTTCCTGTTACATTTACATATGTAATATATTCATGTAAATATATACCTAAATACATTGCAAATTTATAAGTGAAGATAGTTAAGATAATTTAAAGGTGAGGTTTTGTTTCCTGTTTTTTTCCCCCCCATTAAACCCAAACAGACTTATCCCCTTACAGTTTATTACTATTTCTGGCCCAAATATTTAGTAAATAAATGATATGAGCTGCTTGGTATTGATTTTCCTGATCTCAAATTTGATTTGAGACCCATTAGACGTTAGATATGGGGCAATACTACAATGTGGTAAGGGAGATTGTTTTTATACCCTGCAACTAAAAGCAGGAACATTCGATTTTGTTTCAGATAAAATGAAAAGGTAATCGGATTTCAGTTATCTTCACTAATGAAGATGAATGAGGTAAACAACAACAAAAAAGTGGTCCAAATTTATTTATATTGGAAACACTCATCATGTCAAACACTTGATATTAATAGTGTAAATTGTTTGGCTTCACTCCCTAGTGGTTTCCCTGCATCATTCTACCAACTAGAAATGAGCATCATACAAACTACAGTTAAATAACTAACTTGAAATAGAATTCGTCAATTGCTGGCCTTGTTCCTCATCTACTTCCATTAAAGCTCTGGTATAATAGGACTCTAAGGCCAAGACTTTCAGCCCAGAACGTGCTTGGCACCAGCAGTAACGTGTGTGAATGTGTGTGTGTGCATACAAACACACAAATATATTTGTGTATGCTTATCATACATTTCTTGAACACATCCTGATGAGATTAAAAATAATTACTTTTGTATTAAAAAGCATAGATATTTAATGGAATATGAAGCAAAATCTCATTGACTTTTAGTAGGAAATGTGAGATTTCAAAGATATGTTTGAAAAGTGCTACCTTAAATACTACTCGGGAAAAATTGATCAAATAGTTCACAATTGTTATTAGTAATGAAGTAAGAGATTATATCACAAATTTAAAGTCTCCCAAAGAAACTAAACCATTGCTCATAATTTGAGGTTTTAATAAAATTTTAAGATAAATTCCTAGTAATAGCAAAAACACAGGTGATAGAGAGATGTGGATAATTTTTGTTTGTATTTGAAGAATTACCTAAACATTACATTTTTCAACAATATAAAAAATTAAACAAATATTAGCAATTTCAGGGAAGGAGTCTCAAAGAGGACATTTTTGTAAAAAGAAAAAGAAACCTTTAGAAATACACTTCTTTAATATTTGCCTCATTTCATTTACATTAATTAGGTTTATAAGATAATTTTTATCTTTGAATAGCAATCAAATTTTAGATCTCAGCATAAAAGCTTGTTATATTGATATATGGTTGATTATCATTGCAGTTCCAGATTATAATGATGGCCTCTACACCTAGCTCCCTGCTTCCAGATTCAATAGCTTATGGTATATCATGGCCTCCTTTACAAGATCTATCTTCTCATACATGACTTTTTCCCATATTATACAATCCTCAAAACCTTTGGTTTCTTGTTTTACACAGAAATAACAATAAGTCTTTCATCAGTTTCTCAAAGCAACCAGAAATTTATTAAACTTACATTTTGCCTTGAGCTACAGTAAATTTTACAAAAAAGGAGGAGGAAGAAATGGAGGAGGAGAAAAACAAATGAGAGAGAAAAAATGTTTAATAGATCCTGTATTCTAGGTGTTCCCCCTCAGTTAGTGGTAGAAGATAACAACATAAATAAATAGTATTAAAAATTATTTGAGAGAGAGGAATGCCAGAATCCCAAAAAGCGAACTATTCACTTAGCATGGAGTAAGGGTTAGAAAAAAATTATCAGAGAAGAAGAGAGAAAGTATTTAACAAAGACTTTTGAAGGAAATTTTTTTTTTTTAAATGGCTAGGTCTACCAAGAGGAATGACTCAGAGACACAGAGGAGTCAGGTGTCTTTCATCCAGAAATCACAAAGAGTTTGGTTCAGGTAGAGAAAAATATGTGCTCTGTGCTGGAGTGGCAGGAGCTCAGATGATGGACCAGTTGTCACATTAGTTACATTAATGACATTGAGTGTCACTTCAATGACATTTTATAACCTTGTGGGAGTCTGTTAAGTACATTCAATTTTAACATATATTTCTGCGGATGGTGGCTGAATTAGAATGACTGGAGATGTGAGAACAAATTTTAGAAAATAAGCTACTAAAATATCTAGGTGAAAGATGATGAGGCTCTGAATTAAGTGAATTATTTGTAGGAAAGAACAGGTGGGAACAAAATAATAGCTATTATTTCTTGAGTTCTCACTGTGTGAAGTGTCATACCTACTGTGATGGTTAATTTCTTGTGTTAACTTGGTTAGGCCATAGTGCCCATTTGTTTGGTAAAACACTAGTCTAGACGTTGCTGTGGAGGTATTTAGTCGATGTGATCAACATTTACAATCAATTCATTTTAAGTAGAAGAATATTCTCAATAATATGGATGGTCCTTAGCCAATCAGCTGAAGGCCTTAAGGGTACAATATGAAGTTTCCCCCCAAAAATGAATTCTGCTTCAAGAAATTGTGCCTAACTTTCCCAACTGCCAACCTGCCCGACAGATTTAGGACTCAAGACTGAAACATCAATTCATTAATACTTGTCCAGCCTGCTGGTCTGCTCCATAGACTTCAAACTTGTCAGCCCTCACAGTTGCATGAGTTAATTCGTTAAAATCCTTCTCCCTCTCCCTATATATATGGAGATATATATCCTATTGGTTTTGTTTTTCTGGAGAATTTTAACTGATACACTTGACATACCTCAGTTAAAACTTAAACAAAACTGGAACTAGTTATGACCATCTTTCATTTGTAATGTAAGTAAATTTAAGCGTACAGCCTTCAACTCTCCCTAAATCACAAAGCAAAATAATAATAATAATAAATAAATTTAAAAAATGAGTAAGGAAAAGAATGGAAAATAATCTGGACTTGAGCTTCTTGATTCTAGATTCATTCTAATTAGTACTATGTTTTTCCTTCTAAAGGTGAAATCCCTTCACCTGATTTTTGAAATTATTCCATTCTTCGTGATACAATTATAGATAAGTATACTTTCTGTTTTTATTAATTATATCAATTTCAAAACGTTCTACAATGAGTAATTCTGACCTTTATAAGGCTACATTTGTTTAAAAAGAAAAATGACACACCTTCTTGCACCACAAGCCTTTTCAACTGAATGCCTAACTTACTGTTGTAGGACTTACCAGTTCTTTCTTTAGAAAAACACCTATTCTTCACATACCAAACAAGTCACCCATTAAAAATTACAGATTTATAGTTTGTATTGTATGCACAGATGTGTGCAGCTATTATCACAGTCAATTTTATAAAATTTGCATTATCTCAAAAAGAAGTCCCATATACTTTAGCTATCACTCCCTGATCCCTCAATCCTTCCAACTGTAAGTAACCACTAATCTCCTTTCTGTCCTGCAAACTTCCTCATTCTGGACTTTCACATAAATGAAATCATATTTGACTTCTGAAAGAAGACTGGCTCCTTTCACTTAGCATGTTTTTAAGGTTCATCCAAGCTGTAGCACGTATCAGTGCTTCATTTCTTCTTGTGGCTGAATAATTTCATTGTATGAATAATAATTTCATTGTTTGAATATACCACATTTTGTTTATCCATTCATTTGTTGGCAGACATTTGTGTTTTTCCTCACCTTTTGGTTACTATGAATAATTCTACTGTGGACATTTGCGTACAAAGTTTGTGGGAACTTTTAGGCATATACCTAGGAATGGAATTGCTGGATCATATGATAACTTTCTGTTTAATTGTTTGAGGAGATACCAGACTGTTTTCCAAAGAGGCTGTACCATTTTAAATGCCCACCAGCACTCTCTGAGGGTTAGAGATGGACTTCTTCAACACGACTAAGTTCTACAAACTTGACCTTGAAGAACAAGGAACTTAACCTTGAGGAACAAGGAAATTAACCTTGTTCCTCAAGGTCATTGTGTCACTAGTAGTCCTTTGGCAGGATATACATGTCCCTATTGTGTACTAGTAAATGGTATTCTCACTAGTAAATGGTATTATCAAACTTAAACTTTTGATGATTATATAGGCATGAAATGTTAGCTCACTTTAACTTACACTTTGCTACTTACTGCGATGGAATTATATCAAGGCATCTATATTCAGTTGTGTTTACCTACCGAAAATGGTTAATTCCTAAGGTTCCACTTCATATTAAGATCAAACTTCTTTCCATAGGAATTGCTATTTTGATGAACTTATTGGCCATTTACATATTTTTTGATATCTAGGTTCATTGCCCATTTTGGAATTAATCAGGTTGCTTTCTTTTTATTACGTTTTAGAATCCCTCTATATAAGAACTCCTGTATACTTTATTCCTCTATATTAACCTCTTCTTAGATAAGTGATTTGGAAATATTTTCTATTCCACATGTTGCCTTTTTACTCCAATGATAGTGTTCTTGATGCACAAAAGTTTTAAGTTTTGATAAAATCTAATTTGTCAATTTTTAATTTCATGTGTCTTTTGTGTCATATCCAAGAAAGCACTGCAAAATGATTCAATTCATTTATTCCTTCCAATATCTTCAAACTTCTGACTTATATTTTCTTCTAAAAGTTTTATAGTTTTAGAGCTTATGCTGAGATATTTGATCCAATCTGAGTTAAGTTTTGAATGTGATATTAGGTAAGAGTTTATTTTTTGTGTATGTGGATATCCAGTTTTTCCAGTATCAGTTGTTTAAAAAAGATAGTCCTTTCCTGATTCAATGATTTGGCACCTTCATTTGATCATAAATGCGAAAGTTTATTTTTGGACTCTCTCTTCTTTTCCATTGGTCTATATTACTGTCTTTGTACCAGCACAGTTAATTTATGTCACACTATTTTGAATTCTATACATTGTAGTAAGTTTTGAATCAGTAGTGTGAGTTCTCCAACTTTCTTCTTTTTTACAAATGTTTCGGATACTTGAAGCCCTATGAAATTTCATACGAATTCTAGGATAGGCTTTTCTATATCTGCAAAAAAGACATTATTTGGATTTTGATAGGGATTGAATTGAATCTGTAGATTGTGTTGGGCATATTGACATCATAACAAGATTACATCTTCCAATTCATGAACATGGTATGCCTTTACATTTATTATGTGTCCTTTAATTTTTTTCAGACATATTTTTTAGTTTTCATTGTATGAGTCTTTCATCTATTTGACTGAGTTAATTTCTTAGCATTCTATCCTTCTTCATGCTATTGTAAATAAAATTATTTTCTTAATTTCCTTTCAGATTGCCCACAGTTATTGTATAGACTTACAAATGTATATGATTTCTCTGTGTTGACTTTTTATCCTAGTACTTTGCTGAATGTGTTTATTAGTTCTAAAATGCTGAGTGTGTGTGTGGACTCTAGGCTTTTAAAGAAATAAAATTATATAATCTGTAAATGGAAATAATTTTATTTTTCTTTCCATTTGAATTGATTTTATTTTTTTGTTTGCTTAATTGCTTTTGCTAGGACTTCCAGTACTGTGGTGAATACAAGTTTCAAAAGGAAGGATCCTTGCCTTGTTTCTTATCTCAAAGAAACTATTTTCAGTCTTTGACCATTAAGTATAATGATCACCGTTCATTTTGCATACATGATGACATTTATTATGTTGAGGTACTTTTCTCCTATTTCTAGTTTGTTGTTTTTTTTTAGTCATATAAGGGTGTTAAATTTTTAAAAATGCTTATTCTGTATGAGTTGAGATGATTATGTGTTTTTTTTCTTTAATTTCATTAATGTAGTATACTACTGACATGATTTGAATCTGTGTCCTCACTCAAATCTCATGTTAAATGTGTTCCCCAAAGTTGGAGGAGGGGCCTGCTGGGAGATGATTAAATCATGGCAGTGGGTTTCTCATGAATGGTTTAGTACCATCACTTTTGTGCTTTTCTCAGGATAATGAGTGAGTTCTCACAAGATCTGTTTGTTTAAAAGTGTGTGGTAACTCTCACCCCCTTCCTCTGCTCTAGCCACATGAAGATGCCTGCTCCAGCTTTCCCATCTGCCATGAGTAAAAGTTTCCTGAGGCCTTCCCAGCCATGTTTTCTGTACAACCTACAGAACTGTGAGCCAATTAAACCTCTTTTCTTTATAAATTACCCATCCTCAGATATTTCTTTATAGCGATGTGAGAAGGGACTAATACAATTACATTGATCAGTTTTTTATATATTGAATGATCCTTACATTTCAAGAATGAATCCCAGTTAGCTATGTTGTATAATCTTTTACACAGTTGAATTTGTTGTATTAGTATTTTGTTGAGAATTTTTACATAAATGTTCATAAGAAAAATTGATCTGTAAGTTTTTTGTAGCATGTATAGATTTTTGTATCAGGATAATGCTGGCAGATAATGGGTTAAGAAGTGCTTTCTCCTCTTTGACTTTTTGGAAAAGTTTGAGAAATATTGGTTTGTTTGTTTTTCTTTTTGAGACAAAGTCTCACTCTGTTGCCCAGGCAGGAGTGCAGTGGCATGATCTCAAATCACAACTCACTGCAACCTCTGCCTCCCAGGTTCAAGCAATTCTCTTGCCTCAGCCTCCTGAGTAGCTAGGATTACAGGTGCCTGCCAACACATCCAGCTAATCTTTGTATTTTTAGTAGAGACAGGGTTTCACCATGTTGGCCAGGCTGGTCTCAAACTCCTGACCTCAGGTGATCCGCCCGCCTTGGCCTTGGTGTTAGGTTTTCTTAAAAATGTTTAGTAGAATTCACCCATGAAGCCATCAGTTCCAGAATGTTTTTGGCCAGGAGGTTTTTGATTACTGCATTAATATCCATATTAACTATAAGCCTATTCAGATTTTCTATTTCTTCATGACTCTACTACGAAGTTTTGCATTTTTGGTACTATCTTCATTTCGTCTAGGTTATCCAGTTTATTGGTATACAATTGTTCATAGTACTATTATAATCCTTTTTATTTGTGTAGAAACGGTCATAATATCCCCACTTTCAATCTGATTTTAGGAATTTGAGTCTTCTCTTGTTTTTTTTTTTTTGTTTTTTTTTTTTTCAGTCAAGCTAACTAAAGGTTTGCCAATTTAGTTGATTTTTTTGAAGAACCAACTTTTGATTTTAGTGATTTTCTCTGTTTTTAATTATCTACTTTGTTTATATCTACTATCTTTAGGTTTAGTTTGTTTTTCTTTTTTGAGTACCTTCAGTTGTAAAATTAGGTTGTTGATTTGAGATCTTTTTTTGTTTTCTAATGTGAGTGTCTTAATCCTTTCAGCCTTCCATAACAAAATACCAAAGACAGTGCAGTTTATAACAGAAATATATTTATTTACAGTGCTGGAGGCTAAAGAATCCAAGATCAGGGTTCCAACATGTTTCAGTTTTTGGTAAGAGCTCTCCTACTGGCTTACAGATGGCAGCTTTGCCCTCACATGACTTTTCCTTTGAGTATGCACAGAGAGACAAAGAGCAAGAGTGAAAGAGAGTGACAGCAAGAGCAAGAGAAAGAGTGAGAGATCTTCCTCTGTTTTTTAAGCCACCAGTCCTGTTGGATTAAAGCGTCACACATGATCTTGTACAAACTTAATTACCTCCTAAAACTTTTATCTCCAACAAACTAACAAAGTCTCATTGGAGGTTAGGGCTTCAACATAAATTTTGTGGGAACACCATTAATTCCACAGCAGTAAGTATATATAGCTACTTCCCGCTTACACTGTTTTTGCTGCATCTCATACATTTTGGTATGTTGTGCTTTCATTTTACTTCATCTCTAAGTATTTTCTAATTTTTCTGTAATTTTTTAACTCACTGGTTGAGAGAATGTTTTCTAATTTCCACAAATGTAGAAATTTTTCAGTTTTCAGTTTGTTATTGATTTCTAACTTTATCCCATTGTGATCAGAGAAGATCTTTTGTGTGATAATTTTTTAAAAGCTATTGAGACTTAATAGGTGGCAAAATGTATGATCCATCCTGAAGAATTTCTCAAACGCCCGTGAAAGAACGTGTACGCTGTTGTTAGGTTGAGTGTTCTGTATACATCTGCTAAGTCTAGTTGGCTTATTGTGTTTTTTATTTGTTTATTTATTTGTTTTAAGATGGAGTCTCGCTCTCTCGCCCAAGCTGGAGTGCAGTGGCACATCTCGGCTCACTGCAAGCTCTGCCTCCCGGGTTCATGCCATTCTGCCTCAGCCTTCAGAGTAACTGGGACTACAGGCGCCCGCCACCACGCCCGGCTAATTTTTTGTATTTTTAGTGGAGGCGGGGTTTCACCGTGTTAGCCAGGATGGTCTCGATCTCCCGACCTCGTGATCCGCCCGCCTCAGCCTCCTAAAGTGCTGGGATTACAGGCGTCAGCCACTGCACCTGGCCTTACTGTGTTTTTTAAATCCTCTATTTTCTTAATTATCTTCTCTCTGGTTTTTCTAGCCATTATTGAGAGTATGGTGTTGAAATCACCAACAATTATGGTAGAAATATATATATATATATATTCCCTTCAATTATATTCATTTTTAGCTTTATATATTTTGATGGTCTGTTATTAGGTATATAAATGTTTGAAATGTTATATCTTCTTACTGTATTGATTTATTTGTCTCTCAAAACTGTTTATGATTTAACGCCTATTTTTACGTTAGTATAGCAACCCCTATTTTATTTTGCTTACTGTTTGCATGAAATATCTCTTTCCATTCTTTTATTTTCAGCTTATTTGTGTCTTTGTATCTACAGTGAGTTTCTTATAGAGCGTATGTAGTTGAATCATATTATATTTTAAAACTTATCTTCTTAGTTTCTTTTAATTGAATAATTTAATCTATTTATATTTAAAGTAATTACTGATAAGGAATAACTTACTTTTGTGATTTTTCTATTTCTTTTCTATATCCCTTATCTTTTGTTACCCTCATTTTCCACATTACTGTCTTATTTGAGTTTAATTTTTAATAGTAGAATGTTTTAATTCCATTCTCATTTCCTTTCTTTTGTGTATATTTATTATTTTCTTTGTTGTTACCATGGCGGTTCCATGCAACATCATAAAGTTATAGTGCTGATTTGAATTTATACAAGCTTAACCTCAATAACATTCAAAAACGTTGCTCATTCATAGTTTCATCCTCACCTCCCTCAATTATTGAAGTCACAAAATTACATATTTGTATATTGTACATCCAAAGGTATTAACTAATGACATTTAAGGCATTACTTTCTTAAATTATGTCTAAAAAAAATGTGAAATACAAATTAAAGTTAAAATAATATTAGCTTTTAGACTAAAAATTTTAAATATCTTAGCTTTTTAAATTAAGTAGAAAAGAAAAAGTGCAGTTACAAATCATTGTAACAATAACATACATTTCTATAATTGCCCATGTATTTACATTTACCGGGATCTTTATTTCTTTATAAGGCTTCAAATCACTGCCTAGTGTACTTTCATTTCAACCTGCTGGACTCCCACTAGTAATTCTTGCAGGGCAGGTCTAGTGGTAACTCTTGTCAATTTTTCTTTATCTGAGAATGTCTTAATTTCTCCCTTGCTTTTGAAACACAGTTTTTCCAGACATGAAATTTTTGGTTAACAGATTTTGATTTGTTTTGTTTTTCTTTTAGAATTTTGAACACATCAGCCCACTGTCTTGTGGCTTCTTATGTTTCTGATGAGAAATCTGCTGATAAGGATATGTTGTATGTGACAAGCGAGGAGGGCCTCTCTCAGGTTGCTTTCAAAATTCTCTTTGTCTTTGTCTTTCAACAGTTTGATTGTAACTTGTCTTGGTGTGGGTCTCTGAGTTCATCCTATTTGGATTTTTTGAGCTCTTGGTTATTTATACTAATGATTTTCATCAAATTTGGGGCTGTTAATTTTTAAAAATATTTTTTCTACCCCTTCATCTCCCTCTTCTACTTCTAACATTCCCATAATCCTTATGTTGCCCCACTTGATGGTATTCCATAGGTCCCTTAGGTTCTGTTTATTTTTCTTCAGTCTTTTATTTTTTATGTTCCTAATACTCAATCATTTCACTTGTCTTATCTTCAGTTTCACTACTTCTTTCTTCTCCCTGCTCAAGTATATCTTGACTCTCTAGTAAAACTGTTATTTCAGTTACTGTAAGCTTTTGCTCTAGAACTTTTTATTTGGTGTCTTTTAGGTTTACTCTCTCTCTCTCCACTGGTATTTCCATTTTGTTCATACATCATGTTCTTCATATTTTCCATGACTTCCATTATTTCTTGATGTTGGGTCTTTTATCCCTTTGAGTGGGCCATACTTCCTTATTGCTTTGTATTCTTTGTAATTTTTTTATTGTTGAAAACCAGACAATTTGAATCTAATAATTTTGGTATCTCTGGAAATCAGAATCTCCCCTGATATAATCTGGCTCTGTGTCCCCACTGAAATTGCACCTTGAATTTTAATAATTCCCACATGTCATGGTAGGGACTTGGTGGGAGGTAATTGAATCATGGGGGCAGGTTTTTCTCAAGCTGTTCTCATGATAGTGAATAAGTCTCATGAGATCTGATGGTTTTATAAAGGGGAGTTCTCTTGCACATGCCCTCCTGCCCACTGCCATGTAAGACGTGACTTTGCTCTTCCTTTGCCTCCCACCATGATTTTGAGGCCTCCCCAGCCATGTGGAACTGTGAGTCCATTAAACCTATTTCCTTTATAAATTACCCAGTCTCAGGCATGTCTTTATTAGCTGCATGAGAACGGACTAATACATTCCCATTTCCCATGGTTTTCTATTTTATGTTTTTGCTTTTGTTTTGTTATGTTGGTTCTTTTGTAATTGTTGGAGGCTGTCTTTATGCTGAGAATCAGCCTTATGTGAAAAAAGTCTTCTCAGATCTTTTGTAAGCCTGCATCTTTCCCTGTGCATGTATGGTGACTTGCTAATTTCTCCCATACATTCAGTTGCCTTTGAATATCTTAATTTTTAATGGCTGACATCCCTCAAAAAAGAGAAAAATGAAGAGTAGGAAAGGGCACTGGCCTTTTAACCACCTTAGAATTCACTTCAGCTGGAGGGAGAGGAGCTTGTTATAAGGGTGTAAGGATGTGAAACAATAGCTGCCTTCCTCTATATCTGCAATTTCATAATGAGAAGGGGCAATAAACAATAAGAATACAAATCCTTACTTATTTGCATCACAGGGCCCTCATTGTCCATCCTGGTTCCTGCAAGATGAATGCATGCTCCAGGAACATAAGCACAGCTGCCTGCCATGGGGCTGGGGTCGAAGATAGGTAGCTGCTTCTGAGCTAAGAGTTCAAGTCAACTAAAATTAACCACAAACTTCCATTCAAGCCTTCCCATAAAATTTACACACTTTCAATAGACTAGAGTTCTCAATAGTTACATGTCTACTGTAGCAATTGTTATCTGAATGGAAAAACAGATTCCTGGTGCTTCTCTTTCTACCATAATTCCCAGATTCCTCTTCCCAAACCATTTCTATTCAATAAAACTTTATTACAGCTAAAGTGGTTCACTCACCACCTTCTCCAAATAATGCACTCTTTATTGCTTCAGGTTCATTTTTCCACAAATTTTGACACATCTAAATTGCCTTTACTCACACTTAGTGCTATTGAAAGTTCTCCTCAATATTCTGAGTTCTAACTTAGATCCTCTTCCTCAGTAAATTATGTCAATCCCTTGCCTCTCTTCTATAATACCAGGAATTTCTTTTACAGCAAATAAGATTAGAAGCTGAAAATGAAGGATAATTAATTATCCTTAGTTAGTAAACACTACAAGCCTCTTTATTTAATGCAAAACTAATTAAAGTATTGTAATGACTCATCTCTAATAAAATCATATTGCTGAGTTTGCTAATAGCTTCAAATATTGACAAAGCATGCCAAACTCATATGAAATGGACCATTGGCCATTTGTAGAAGTATGTCTTTTACTTTTTTAAATTTATGTTTGCATGCACTCAAAAGATAAACTAGATAAATATGAAATTTCTCTTAAGAATTCCCCAAAGGAGTTTGAAAAATGACATTACAGAAAACTTAAGCTTAATTCTCCACAAAACTAGTCACCCTAAAGTTCCCTAAGGTGTTTAAATTCATATGAAAACAGATTTTTTAATAATAGTAAAAGTGAATACCTACAAAATACTTATTATAGGCCAGATACTATTCAAAGTGCTTTAGAACTGTATTTCATACATTAAACACCAGAATAGCACTATTGATAAAGCACTACCATTTTAAAGATGGAAACAGTAAGCCATATCAAGATTAAATAATGTTCTCAAGATCAACAGCTAGTAAGCAGTAGAACCAGAATGTAATCACCTGCAATATGGCTTCAAACAGGGAACCTATAATTTTTATACATTTTTAGTATTTTCATAATTTTCTTAAATATATTAAAAAATAAGGAATCAATAACAAATAAAGAAAATGCATACATTAATACTATTTCCCTGAGTGTATCAAAGTGCTATTATTTTGTCATAGGTGTTGGTTTCCCTCAAGTATGAAGAATAAGAGGGTCATTTAAAACCAACCAAAGTGTAAAAGATTTTCCAAAATACTGTCCATTTTTTTCTAAAATACTGGGCAGTATTTTGTACAAAAGGTGGAGTTGTCTTGGGTTTCTGTGTTCTGGAATTTGGTTTGTTCCAAAGTTGCTTCTGGCCCAATGGACCAGCTCTATTGTTCACAACATCAGAGTGAAACAGGAAGGATGAGAGCACCTGCCACTTCTTGGTGTCCACTCACCATTGTCCATGAATGTTTCATTGATTACATGCCTTATCTAGACCAAACCCTGCACATTCATATTTACCATATTCTATGCAAATTTTGCTGCCACTTTTCAGAAATATCATAGTGGGATAGATTACAGAGAGTTCTGTGATGGTAGATTAAATGCATTGTTTGTTAATTTATCTAAATATCTACAAGATAAAAGCAAATATAATGTCTATAATCTGTGGTATCTGGACAATTGCAGACATTTTTCATTTTAAATCACTAACCTTTTTTCATCATAATGATTTACTCAATTATTCAACCATTTAGTGTGGAAAGGACAGTGAATGCAGGGTTGTTTGTAGGATTTCTTTGAATATTTGAGGGTCCAGATTATTTTCCAATGAAAGGAAACCTTATTTAGCCACAGTGTATTATTCTGTAGGCTTCTCATGATATGAAATATCTATTATAATTACCCTATTTCACTAATAAGCTTAAGAAATATACAGATTTATAAAATAGGATATAAATCATAGTAATGTGCATCTTATTATGAAAAATAGTCATTTTCCAAAATAATTATCACAATGATATGATGGTGTACATATTTCTATTTATAGATGAGAAAATTGAGGCTTGCAGGAAATTAAAAACTTAACTCAGCCCAACCAGCTGTTGTTAAAACAGCAATTCAAATTTTAAAAAAGCCTAGAGGATTCTAAACTACGTTAAAAGAACTAGTTAAAGGATAGGATGAGGGTTGGCCAATCAGAGTTATTAAAGGTAAATAAGGTAAATATATTTATTAAGGTATAAAACATTTGAATTCAATAGAAAGATGTATTTATCATTTTATAACTTCCTCATTCTTTACAACATAGTTCAAATTATATAATGCAAAACTGACAACTAAAGAAAAAAATCACATATCCACTGTCATTAGTAAGAAAATATAACTCTTAGAAACATAATTATTAAGATTGATCCTGTAGGCACATATAGAACATTGTTCCTGTCATATAGAACATATATAAAATTATCCATCACATAAAAAGCATTTTGAAAAAATCCCAAGCCATAAAGCATGTCTCATCAATTGCAGTCACTAACTAAAACTAACTAAAAAAAAAATTGTAAAACTTAACCCAGTAACCATAATAGAATCAATTTTTTAGTATTCCAGCAAAAACAAAAAACAAAAAACCCCACCATACCTAGTTACATTCATAGGTTAACTAGTGCAGAAGGATTTTAACGACATAGAAATTATAAAAATTGAAATGGAAAAGAAAAATGTCATTATTAACAAAAAGCATAATAGTCTACACAGAATTATTTGGAATATATAATTGTGCGTAGCAAGGTTGATATATATTAAATAAATAATTTGAGTACCTTTCTATTTACCAGTAG
Source organism: Homo sapiens (assembly GCF_000001405.40). Lineage (NCBI taxonomy): Eukaryota > Metazoa > Chordata > Mammalia > Primates > Hominidae > Homo > Homo sapiens. The sequence continues at coordinate 115,691,930 of NC_000002.12, read as the reverse complement.
CAAACATTTTTAAAATAAGAAATGCAAGCACTTAAAAGAGTCACCAAAATGATAAAGTGTAAATTTTTAGATATAAAATTGTAAAATTTGAGATATTAAGAGTCTTAAATAACTAAATACATACATTAAATGTTTGTAGATATGAAGATTCAGTATCACTAAGATGTTAATTTCCCAAAATAGACATATAGATTCAAATAATAAATTCAAAATTCTGAAAATGGGCATGTAACATGAAAGACAATTGTGACATTCATATGAAAGGCTAAAAAGTCAAGAAGAGTCAAAGTCAGCATATGAAACTGCCTTGTCAGCTAGTAAAGCTTATTTTAATTAAGATACTGTTGTCTTAGCACACTAATAGACAAACCACCTGGAAGAAAAAAAGAGCCGGAAGAAGACTCATGGATATGTACAGCATAACACTGTAACACTGCAGATGAATAGTTAAAGAATGAAGTGGTCAACAAAAGGTTTCAGGACAATTGTTGGCCATATAAAACATATATAAAAATGGATAGGGACTTAATACCATACCAAAAAAAGCAATTTCAGATGGATGGATCAAGAACCTATACATGGAAGGCCCACTTGAAAAATTCTAGAGAAGTATGATTTCATTGTAAAGATTTCATCAATAACAAAAAGTACAAATCATGTATTTGATAAATCAGACTACATTTATAAAAAAATATGTTTGTAGAAATGGATCCATTAAGAGAGTGAGAAGTAAATCCGAAAACTGGATGAAGATAGACCAAACAATGTATTAATATCCAGAACATATAAGGGGTTCCTTTTAACTAAAAAAAAAAGAATAAAAAATGTGAATGGACAAATATATGAATAGATATTTCACATATGAAAAAATACAAATTGCCAGTAACCATATGAAAAGTTGCTCTAGCTTATTAGAATTCAAGGAAATACTAAATGTTAATAAAACTATAACGAAATACTATTTTGTATCATCATTTGAGTAATTATTTAAAAGTCTGGAAAAACAGGTGTTGGCAAGGATATGGAACCAAGGGAACGCTCTCATTATTGCTGGTAGGTGTAAACACGCTTAACAAATAACCTAGAAATCAGTTTGGTGATGCTCAGTACATCTGAGCATGCACAGGATAGTAAGCAATACTACTCCCTGAGCAATATTCCCTTGAGAAAGGCTTTACATTGTCACCATGAGATATGTACAAGAATATAATATTGCAGGCGGGGCTCACTGGCTCATGTCTGTAATCCCATCACTTTGGGTAGGCCTAGGTGGGTGGATCGCTTGAGGTCAGGAGTTTGAGATCAGCCTGGCCAACATGGTAAAACCCCGTCTCTACTAAAAATATAAAAGCTAGCCAGACCTGGTAGCATGTGCCTGTAATCCCAAGTACTCAGGAGGCTGAAGCACAAGAATTGCTTAAACCTGGGAGGCAGAGGTTGCAGCGAGCTGAGATCTCACTCCAGCCTGGATGACAGAGCAAGACTTTGCCTAAAATAAACATGCACATACATATATATATAATTGCTCAAACTGCTTTATATATCAATAATTATCTTTTTGAGTTTGTAATAATTTCAAAATAAAAATAAAAGTAAAAATCCTCTCTTAAGAGAATATTAAATAATTCTGTCTAAATTTTTACCCTGAACAATGCTTTAAGAAAAAATAATCTTTATTTTGAATTTTTCATGAAAACTGACAATATTATGTAATGGAAAGTATGCAGTACAAGGTCCTAGTAACCTTGAATCTCTTCTAGGTTTCATTATAAACCAGCAGTTTAATCATATATTACTTAATAAACTTTTGTCTTTATTAACTGATAAAATAATACTAGTATCATTTAATGTATTCTTAAGTTGGACTATTAGATAAAAGATATAAAGGACTTAGGGAAACATAAAGTTTTGTAGGACAAGTTTTCCTATGGTTTTTCCAAAGTTTCAGTTAACATCTTCCATAAAACCATGATTGGCAGTGTTCAGTGCATACCAATGCCTGCGCTTACCAGCTGCTGCCCTTGGACACCCCAGGCCGCGTACTGCAAGACGGAGTCCTCTACTTCTGGAGGATTTAACTCCCAAACTTCCCTTGAAAAAATGTGAATATTTTTACATGAACAAACTGATATCTACACCAACAATTTAGTAACACAATTGCTCATGAAAACTAGAAAATCAAAGAACTTACCTAGTGTGTATGTTGTAAATCACATATGAAGCAGTATACGAATAATGAAAAATCTGAAATTAAAAAAGAAACATTATTGATCATAGCTTTATCTTAATGTGAATATATGTATATATATTCTTAGTAACATCCAGGTAATCCAAGAATTGGTGTTAGGCAGAAATGAAAATATAAAACATTCTAGCTCAGAAGTTTATCACCCTCTCTGTGCCTTATGCCTAATTTTTCTTTCTAATATCAATTCCATTGCTTATTTAATCCACTCTATCCTGAGTATAATTGTGATTATGTTACTTTCTTGTTCAAAATTTTCACTAATGCCCTATTGCCTGTAAAATAAAGTTCAAACTGCCTCATCTGATGTTAAATAATTTTGTTATTTTGGCTTTTACATGTTTTTCTAAACTTATCACCCACTCCCTCTCTTTACATCGTCTATACTTCAAATTAGATGGATTCTCCCTGTGTGTCCTGAACTTTTTTTGCTTTTCCCCCAAGGACATTCTACCTTAACTGAGGTGAGAATTCTACCCCTTATAATAAAGCCCCCGTATGGAGCTCATATTGATTTCTTCTACTGAAATCCATCTCGCACAGTTTCCTGCATGACTCTTAGGACACATCTCACTCTGTAGTGAAACTATATAAACATTTTGTGTAAGTCTCCTTTTCCTACTAGAATGTTGTCAGATACAGGTGTCTATTACCTTTGCATCCTCCACATTACCTAGCACAGTGCCATGTTTATATGCATTCAACTGGTATTTCTTGAGTGATGGTTCTGATAGGAAAAAAACTAATGCATGTTGAAGTGTTTGTTGGTGAAGTTGAAGTGAGATAACACTCTCCACACCTTCATAGTAATGGTTGAAAATGACATATTAAGCAGATGGCTACAAGTATGTAATATCTAAAAATCCCCATTTTTTTAAAGACTATCTTCCCAAGGACTGCAGAACTCATGACCCATTAAATTTCAAACAAAAGACTGTAGTGCATAATGCAAAAATGCCTCTATGTTTTGCTTCTTAATAATGAGATGATGAAATAGTGGAATACAGAGGAAATTAGGAAAATTACAAAAGATGGGTTAGGGAAAGAGATGATGAGTATATTTCTGTGAAAATTATTTTTCTCTAAGCTATGTGAATCTAGTGAAGAAAATTGTTCTTTAGCTAGCTATATTGTGATATTATTATTTCCAGGATTTACAGAAATTTTATTGATACTTTCATTTTTCAGTATGCAATTGTAAAAGCTTCTTTTATTCTTGTAGTGGATGTACATTGCACAAATATTATAATACTGTCAATTAAAACTCCCTAGAAGTCAAATTGTTATTTCTTCTCACTGGAATAATAGCTTCAATTAAATATGATTTGCCACATATTTGGCAAAGAAGTGCTATGTTCTCTCTTTGCAATGAAATTGCAAGCCTTCCACCATTTGTTAGAGTATTGTGTTTTACAATGAAGCTTTATGCTCCCGCTCCTTTTGGAATAACTATTAAATCTGAGATTGCCTTTGTGATAGGGCTGTAGAAGCAAAAATAATTTTTCCTGGTGTCTACTTTGACATTTACTTTGTGTTCTATAAAGTTCCATACTTACTACAAATTTAAATCTTGAATTTACTACCAGAGCTGACAAAAAGATGAGAAATGTGACCACTTCTGTCAATATTTTCTCTCTCTCTCTCTCTCTCTTTTTCTCTCTCTCTCAGAAAGCTCTGCTGCCAAAGCAAACTGCCAAGTGAGTTCTTGGTCTTCAAAGAAGACAAATATGTCATGATATCGTGGGGGGAAAGAGGGTATTCATCCTATCTTTGAGTCACCTACCACACTGTACCTGGCTTTTAGGCACACATCTAAAGAGAAAAAGTTGCTGGGCATTATCATTTTAGGCAAAGCAGACACTGAGACCTAACAACTGTGTATAATTATTGAATCTTGGTCTCTTTCTGCACTATTTTTTATAGAGGTTGCTGGTCGTTCTCTAATTGTAAATCCAGAGGACTTATATGTCTTCAAATGGTGTGATTGGAGAAGGGAATATATAAATCCACCTTCTGTTCTGTAGTTCTTAGCCTGATAACAATATTGTCTCTTGCAGTAAGTGTGTTGAGGTGAAGACTGCAATAAAGAAGTTAAACTAGACTTGTCTGCAAACCCACAGCAGAATGCAGTAACATATAGGCTTGGGCCTCATCCATATCTATCTATCTATCTATCTATCTATCTATCTATCTATCTATCCATCCATCCATCCTACAAAGCCAGCAATTTGCCATCTGCAGATAATTAGAACCTAGCCCTTTACTCTGAGTTTAGAACACTTTCCTCCAAATTCACTATCTTTTTATGCATGTGTGTGTGTTCCCAGCAGATCTCAAATACTTCCTGTTTTTTAACTTTCAATAAGAAAAATCACATTCCTTGCCCACAACAGAATAAAGAATATGGGGGAGGGCAAAATCTTGAACAAGGTTGGAAGAAGAAATTTCTATCTCTCTTTCTCTCTTTCTTGACATAGTGTTGGAGATATTTTAAAGGGAGGGGGGATTTTCAATGAGAATTAGATTTAGCTTTACTGAACATCTGTATTAAGGCATTCTGGTCTAAATTCACCCTGTGCTAATCTGCATCTCTTTCTCTCTCCTTCCTTGGATAACATTTCTACTCTTTTTTAACATTCCTCAATTTCCTTTATCTTAAACTCCCCTTCCATACGGCTAAGTAGGTCTTATTTCATGACGAGAGGGTAAAATCAAAGTTACTTAAGATTAGGAAGAGTAACAGTTTTTCCTGTAATGATTGGCTGCTGCACAGTGAAAGCCAAACTGAGCATCTGAGAGACCTATGGGGACAAGCAAATTTCATAGCCAAAAATTACCTATTCATCCCATCTCTGCAAATGATGTTCCACTACTTATTAGAGTGTGAATAGTTATGGAAAAGGCAGTGGGAGTGGACAGAATTCCAATATACCATATCAAAACTTGATCAGCTTATTTCTGGAAGCTGGCCTTAAGATATCCAATCATTCAATCCCATCAAGAAAAGTATTAGGAGACTCAGAAAACATCAAAAGATCATGTAATCCAATCTGGTACCCATCATCTCTATATTATACTGTGAACCCTAAGAAGAGTTTGATTACTAAGAGTTGACTACTACAAGTGGTATAGACAATTTTCATTGTTTGCAGTTGTTTTTACCTGTATTCTCAGCATAAACACTGAATTAGCAACTACTGAATCATTGCTCCTAGGAGAAATACAGGATCAGGTTCCTGTGAGCCTCTGGTCACAACATTTTCATGAACCCTTTAACCTATAACCTACTTCATATTTGTTTCTGTTTAAAGACACCTTATTTTAAATGATTCATTAACATTGAACTCATAGCCAACAACACTATAACTCACGCTTGAATGAGGCTTATCTAACACATGTGTTTGCTCCATAAGGCACATCACAGCATTCTTGCACTAAGGAAGACAGGACAACTCTTCATCACTATGCTTGGGGGCAGAAGTGACTGGTGGGAAGTGATTTTAAACAGGAACATGACCAACAGAAAGCACAAAAATGTGAAAAACATGTCACTAAGTAGACCCTCAAAACGATAATTGTTTACAGTAAAAGAGCTGAAACAGGAAGGCACAGTGTCACCTCGTTCAACCTTAGCTGGGAAAGTAGACAACAAGCAACTCAATTGTTCTGTTATTCTGCATATGTCTATGAATGACTGTGAAAGACCCAGGAGTAGATTTGTGGGGCACAAGTTAACTTTAGCATGTAGTTGAATTTGCATATATGTAATTTATGGATAATAATCTACTGTATTAATTATATAAACATGGCATGAGATATTATTGGAAGAAAGGAAAAACAGACATATTTTAGTCCTGCCAGAATTTGAACACAAGGAAAGTACAGAAGTTATCCAAATTCTGGCATTCATGCTCTGTAAATGAAAATTAACTACATTCATTTATTTAACAAATTTCTGTTAATATCTTTGATACAGGCACCACAATAACTATTTTTAAAAAGATTATCATAATAAAGTTTTTTAAAATAAGATAAATAAGAGTGTCAGTTGATAACCTGTATTTACTTTTATATGTTGTCAGTTTATAAATGACTATTGAATACTAATTATGTAACTATTGAATACTAATTATGTGCAAGTTCATAAATGAGGTAACTTGCAAAATACAAAGACCAAAATAAATGTAATCTCTGTCCCCACGGAGCTTATGTTCCATTCGGTGCAACAAGGCCAAGAAACATTACATTGGTATGGAAAACTCTGTTGTAGGTCATGGTTCAATTAGGACTGCATATTATAAGTTCATAAGCTTTCCAAGAAATGATTAATCTTTTTGGTTTTATGAGTACGTCATAGAAATATACTAGTTGACTTAGTCGAAGTGATTTATACAGTTTAGAAAAATACAGCTAGTGTGTCAAACTTAAGATAGTCCTGCATATAATAATAACTCAAATTTAGCTTTCACTACATACCAGATTCTGCATAGTGCTTTACATATATTATATTACTTAACATTTAAATCAACCTCAAGATTTATTTACTCAAGAAGTAAATATTATTCATACTTCATAAAATAAGCTCTGCCAAGTTCAATTTTAAAACTGAAAGTTTAAGTAGGAAACAGTCACAATCTGAACCAAGATCTGCCTGATTACAATCCACTTTGCGATTTAATCTTTCTGCACACTACCTTTCAGGGAGCTAGTACATGAAGCACGACTCTACCTTTGCAAATGATTCATTTCCAAAAGACCAATTAAGCCACTATTCAAAGATCTATTGATGGAAATATGTATGAATTAATTGATTACCAGAGTTAAGAGAGATTTCATTTTGGAAACATGATCTATCAGATTAAAAATGTAAATTGTCTTTTCCTTTAACTGTTTTTCACAATTTTTTTTCTTGGAATATCAGTTATTACCTAAGACACCTATGGGGATTCGTGTCAAGGAGAGTTCAGCTTAAAAGAAAAAAGAGCAGTGTATCCCAGTAATTTATGCTTGAACCAGAGGCTTGTATCTCTGGATACAAAAGCTTTTTCTGCACTGCAGTTGAACAGCCGAATTGATATAAATAGCATTCATTTTCATGGCCTGGAGAATATTTAAAATAGGATTATGGATTTGCCATGGAATCAAACAGTTAGGAAAACTGAACTGTGAGAAAGCAAGCTACTGTGTCAACAGCATTTATTAAAAAATGCCGGTAAGAGGAAAGACAATACAGGCAAAATGGGATTGGTTTCTCTTGGAAGTCAGTAATACAATGATGCCAAGTTTGTTCTAGGATAATGAGATACCTTTTAAGATGAGTGAGTCGTGACTTTGTCGTTTCAAAAGATTTATCTTCTTCACACAGTTACGAACTAACTAGCTCCTAGCTATGAGCTAGGAGACTCTAGTGTTGTAATATGATTCACACAATGATAAACTACAGCTCTACAGAAATATTTTTAAAACATTGCCCTTTTAACAAAAGCTTTGTGAACATCGAAAAACAAGTATTGATTGAAAAGGAAAATATATATGAGTATTAAAAGTATACTTAATATTTATTAGTATTTTAAACTACTTCAAAATATTTCTTACTTAATGTTCACTATAACCTTAAAAGGATATTATCTATCCTTCAGGTTTGGATAGATTTATAACCTTAAAAGGATATTTTCTATCCTTCAGGTTTGGATGGCATTTAAAATCAATTACTGACAGTAGTACAAGCGATTTTTTATTTATACCGAAATAAGTTTATACACAGCTAGTATAACTAGAATTGGAACTAAGATCTTACAGATTCTGAAATCCATGGCTTTTCTACTACAATAAGAAAGAAAAAAATGCAAGCATGACTTTACTATGATACAACATAGAGGAATCACGTACCATTCTTCAATTGCACCACCATTTTGGTAAGTGGCAAACAGTAAAATACTTAAGGTGGTGAGACTAAAAGTATGAAGATTACGAATATAAAATTCAGGTTTTTTATTTTTATTTTATGTTTTAAAAATAGACACATTTAGAGCACTTTTAGGTTCACAGCAAAATAGAGTGGAAGTTACAGAGAGTACTCACATACCTCTGCCTCCACACACACACAGCCTCTCCACTATCAATATCCCCTACCAGAGTGGTACTCATGTTACAATCAATAAACGTATATCAACACGCCATTGTCACCCAGAGTCCATAATTTACACTAGGGTTTACTCTTGATGTTGTATATTCCGTGAGTTATGATGAGTATATAATGATTCATCTTCATGATTACGGTATCACACAGCATAGTTTCATTGCCCCCCAAAATTCTGTGTGTTCCACGAGTTCATCCCTTCTTCCATCCTAATCCCGAGCAAATGCTAAATTTTTTTACTGTCTCCACAATTTTGCATTTCCCAGAATGCCATATAGTTGGAATCATCCAGTATGCAGACTTTTCAAATTGGCTTTTTTCACTTACTAATATGCACATACATTTCATCCATGTGTTTTCATGCCTTGATAGTTCATCTCTTTTTCAGTAAACAATATTGCATAGTCTAGATATGTCACAGTTTATAGGTGTTAATTAGGCTGTATTTACGACAAAATCTATAAAACATAAAAATAAACTTGCTAATTAAAAAGCAAAACAAAACTGACCGTCACAAAACCAATTTGGTCATTCTGTTATAGGCAGCATGATGCGGTCCCCACACAAGATGTATAATAAAGTACTATTTATACTTTTCTTTGGTTTATTTGGGTCTAGTAGGCATCACAGTGGAAAAGAATTAGATACTGTGTCAGCAATTTTATAATTTATAGTGTATTTCCTCTGAACTGAAATACAATACTTTCAGAAATACTCTCTAACTGTAAATGCTGACAACCTAATGAGATGAATGAAGTACACGTTTTTATTTGATATATTTATTTTACTTTAGACAATGGATGGCTGATGACTCAAATATTAAAAGCATACCAAAAATCACCTGGACAACATTTTTCAATTGCATGTAGGGCTATTCTGCCTAGGATATAATTCAACTGGCCTATGTATTAATAGCAGCTAATACCAGAAGATTATACTTTATTACCCCAAAGGAGATCTTTGAGCAGGCAGAATAAATCATTTTCTGATATATTCCCTGTTATATAAATAAGCTTATTATATTATAGAAAAACCTTCTTTAAATTGCTCTTAGAATTGCTCTTAGAGTTCCTGCGACGTTTTCTATAGTGCAAAATTCCTTTTCAAAGATGTTCCATTTTTCAGTAATTGATATTTAACATGTAACTTTCACCATACTACACTCTTGAGTAAACTAACAGCCTCATTGACAATGCCACTGTTTGTAATACAATATTTTCATGGACCAGACCTCTCCTCATTAATTAACACAAATAAGCAACTTCCACATCAGTTGGCATTAAACTATTTTCTACTTATCATCATTTGAAAATATCTGGTTTGATAACCTGAATGGCATTTAAAATCAATTACTGAAAGTAGTACAAGCGATTTTTCATTTATAGCGAAATAAGTTTAAACATTGTCTCACTAGCTATAAACTAGTTTTCTCTCTAGCATATCCATGCAGAAATAAATATATTGCAATAGGACAGAGAGCCAAACTCCCAACCTAGCTTCCATTTAGTGCTGGAACTAGAATTGTAAGGATGAAAATTATTGTTTCAACACATAGGAAATTACAAGCCCTTGTTAACTGAATAAACCATGACTTCGAAAAGTGGTCATTTCATTTCCAAGCAGCTTTGGAGAAAAGGTTGTCTTCATTTCAATAGGATCAAATCTTAGCTTGTGTTTTCCTTAGCAGTTTACAAGAAAAAAGAAAAAGAAAGAAAGAGGAAGAAAGAAGGAAGGAAGGAAGGAAGGAAGGAAGAGAAAGAAAGAAAGAAAGAGAGAGAAGGAGAAAGAGAAAGAGAGAGAGAGAGAAAGGAAGAAAGGAAGGAAGGAAAGGAAGGAAGGTAGGAAGGCAGGAAGGAAGGAAAAGAAAGAAAGGGGAAAAAAACCACAATTCACTCATCAAGGGAATAGAGAAAATAATATATATCCAAATGTTTTATTATGAGGATTAAAGGACAAAAATATATGGAAATTTTTTGGTTATTACCTGAGGCTAAGCCCAAGAGATTACAACCAGAAAAGCTCAAATCTATTTCAATTGCAACTTGTTAACTTATTCCATAAAAGTTTTACTACCAAGCAGAGATAGAAAATCCTTAAAATGAGTTGTATTGATTTTGTATTTGTAACTTTGCATAACACTATACCCTCATACATAATTAACATACCTGTGTTAAATGATTTTTTAAATATTAGAAAAATGGTAATAAATATAAATTCCAAGTATTATAATATATGTATTTACCTATTAATAGCTATTTAGATTGTTCATATTTTCCATATACCATAAAAAACTCTAAAATTATTTTTATTACATATTTTGCATACGCTTAGGATATATTCTCAAAAGTAAAATGTGTAGATCAGAAGATATGCACATTTTACATTTTGATTCCTATTACCAGTCATTTTTTACTACGGCTAAAACAATTTATAGTCCTACATGCTACACAAGCATCTCTCTCTTTGTTCAAAGTCACAATAAAATCATGTTGCCATTGAGGTAATTTAAATTATTTCAAGGAAAAACAATGACAATGACAGCAGCAACAACAACAACAAATCATTTAGACCTGTAGTTTATGATTGAGCTTGAATATCCTGTCATAAGCTGTAATCACTTGTGTTTCTTCATTCATAACTTATATATCAGTGTCTTTTTCCTGTTTGTTCTTGGGAATTCATTCATCTTTTTCTTATTGATCTCTAAAAGCTCTTTTTATATGACAGATTATAACTTTGTTTTTATGTATGTAGTAAACATTTTACCCTATTTAGCATCTGTGTTTTCATTTTGTGTGTTTTCCACAGATAATTTTTAAAACTTTATATGTTTACTCTAAAAGTTAGTTCCTTTATGGTCTCATACTTAAGTAGCATGCCAAAAGTAGCTTAACTAGCTTAACATTGTAAGTTCTCACACACTTTTTTCTTCTAGTACTTTTAAAATTTATGATCTCTTCATTAAGCAATAATTATTTTTTATTTACGGTGTGAGGTATACATCCACTTTTGTTTTTTATTCCCCAAGTAACCAGAAAGTTGCTCAATGCAATTTGTTCTGTAATTTGTCATTTTTCTTTATTTGAATGTTATACTTACATTCTATACATAATTTGTCTTTTACTGGTCAATTGTGGACTTATTTATTTGTTTGCCTTTTCCTTACAAGGATTATATTGCACCTTTAAAACACATTTAATTGTAAAGAATACTAATACATTTTCATATTTTGGTTACATATACACACTCTAAATATTGACTACTTAAAACATCTTATTCTTATTAAATTCTAGTTAAACTGAGAAGCATATTAAATATTGTTGAATAAAAATTTTATTTAAAAATGTTTTAAAACTTTTTACTTAGAGATCTTTAAAATATTCTTGTCATTTAGAAAATTTTAAAATTTTTGAGTGACATAAAATTGTACATATTTTGGGGAATACAATGTGATATTTTTATACATGTATATAATATGTAATGATTAAATCTGTGTAATTAGCATACTCATCACCTAAAACATTTATTATTTCTTTGTGTTGTGACCATTCAAAATCCTCTCTTTAGGATTTTTGAAAATATATATTAAATTATTGTTAACTATAGTTGCCCGAGGTAGTATAGAATTCTAGGACTCCTTCTTTTTTCTAGCTATAATTTTATATCCTTTATGAAACCTCTTTCTATCTTCTCTTACTCCTACATTTTCAAGCCTCTAATAACCACAGTTCTTCTCTTTACTTCTGTGAGCTAAATGTTTTTGTTCCCACGTACAAGTGATACACATGGTATTTATCTTTTTGTGCCTAATTTATTTCACTTAATATAATGTCTTCCAGGTTTATCCATGTTGATGCAAATAACAGAATTTTATTATTTTGTAATAGCTGCATATTATTCCCTTGTATATTTATACCACAATTTTTTAATTCATTCAGCTGGTGATGGACACTTACAATGATTCCATACTATTCATTCTCACACTTCTATGAAGAAATATCTGAGACTTGGTAATTTACAAAGAAAAGAGGTTTAATTGACTCACAGTTCCAAATGGCTGGGAAGGCCTCAGGAAACTTACAAACATGGTGGAAAGGGAAGCAAACATGTCCTTCACAAGTCAGAAAGAGAGAAGAGTGCTGAGCAAAGGGGGTGAAACCATCTATAAAACCATCAGATCTCCTGAGAACTTACTATCATGAGAACAGCATGAAGGTAACTGCTCCCATGATTCAATTACCTCCCATCAGGTCCCTCCTATGACATGTAGGGATTATGGGAACTACAATTCAAGACAAGATTTGGGTGGGGGACACAGCCAAATCATATCATTCCACCCATGCACCCCCCCCACATCTCATGTCCTCACATTTTAAAACACAATCATGCCCTTCCAACAATCCTCCAAAGTCTTAACTCATTCCAGCATTAACTCAAAATTCCATAGTCCAAAGTCTCATCTGAGACAAGGCAAGTCCCTTTTGCCTATAAGCCTGTAAAATCAAAAGCAAATTAGTTACTTCCTAGATATAATGGGGGTATAGGCACTGGGTAAATACAACTATTTCAAATGGGAGAAACTGGCCAGAACAAAGGGGCTCCAGGCCCCATGCAAGTCCAAAATCCAAGAGGGCATTCATTAAACCTTAAAGTTCCAAAATGATCTGTTTTGACTCCATGGCCCACATTCAGGGCATGCTGATGCAAGAGGTGGGCTCCCACAACCTTGGGCATCTCCACCCACTGTGGCTTTAGAGTAGAGCCCCCAGTCAGATGCTTTCATGGGCTGGTGTTGAGTGCCTGCAGCTTTTCCAGGTGCACGGTGCAAGCTGTCAGTGGATGTAACATTCTGGGGTCTGGAGGACAGTGGCCCTCTTCTCACAGCTCCACTGGGCAATGCCCTAGTGGGGACTCTGTGTAGGGCTCCAACCCTACATTTTCCTTCTGCATTGCCCTAGTAGAGGTTCTCCATGAGGACTGCACCCCTGCAGTAGACTTCTGCTGGACATCCAGGTGTTCCCATACATCCTCTGAAATCTAGGCAGAGGTTCCCAAACCTCAATTCTTATCTTATGAACACCTGCAGGACTAACATCATGTGCAAGGCAAGCTGCCAAGACTGGGTGCTTGCACCTGAAGCAATGGCCAGAGCTGTGCCGCGGCCCCTTTTAGCATGGCAGGAGCAGCTGGAAAGTAGGGCACCAAGTCCCAAGGCTGCACACAGCAGGGGGGCCCCGGGCCTGGCCCATGAAACCATTTTTTCCTCCTAAGCCTCCAGGCCTGTGACAGGCGGGGATGCCGTGAAGGGCTCTGACATGCCTAAAGACATTTTCCCCATTGCCTTGGTGATTAACATTTGGCTCCCCATTACTTATGCAAATTTCTGCAGCTGGCTTGAATTTCTCTTCAGAAAATGGGTTTTTCTTTTCTATTGCATCATCAGACTGAAAATTTTCTAAAGTTTTATGCTCTGCTTCCTCTTACTTGATATAATTTTGAGTTTTCAAAAATATATTGAGACTTGTTTTTGGCTCTAAGTATAATTAATGCTAAATAATATTTTATGTGCTAATGAGAAGAATGTGTCTTCTGCAGCTAAAGGATAAAATGACTTATAAATGCCTTTTAGGTCTATTTGGTGTTAAGTGCAGTTTAAGACCTATGTTTCTTGACTCTCTGTCTAGATGATATGTTTCATGCTTAGAGTCAGGCGTTAAAGTCCCCAGCTTTTACTGTAGTGGAGACTCTCTCTCCCCTTAGTTCTAACAATATTTGCTTTGTAAATCTGGATGCTATGGTATTGGGTACATACATATTTAACATTGTTATATCCTCTTGCTTAATTGATCTTGTTATTATTACACAATAACCTTCTTTGTTTCTTTTTTTGTTACTTAAAGTCTATTTTATCTGATATAAATATAGCTTTCCTGCTCACTTTTTATTTCCATTTGTATGAAATATCTTTTTCCATCTCTTCACTTTCAGTCTACATGTATCCTTACAAATGAAGTGAGTCTCTTGTGGGCAGCATATAGTTGAGTCTTGTTTTTTAATCGATTCAGCCATTCTGTATCTTTTTATTGGGGAATTTAAATCATTTACATGCTAGTCAGTTATTGACTGGGAAAAACTTACTCCTATCATTTTTTACATTGTTTTCTAGTGTTTTACAAATTCTTTGTTTCTTTCTTCCTCTCTTATTGCTTATCTTTGCAGTTTGTTGATTTTCTATATTGATTTAACTTGATTCTGTTTTATTTCTCATTTATTTATCTGTTCTACCAGTGAGGTTCACATTTTTATATGTTTTTATAATGGTAGAGATTGCCCATGTGCTTTCAAATGTAAGACTTTCTTAAGCATTCTTGTAGGACCAGTCTAGTGGTGATGAATTCCCTCAATTTTTGCTTGCCTGGGAAACACTTTATTTCTCCTTAATTTCTAAAGGATAGTTTTGCCTGAGTGTTATATTTCTGGCTGGAAGGTAATTTGTCTGTTTTTCCCTGAATTTTGACTATATTATCATATTATTTCCTGATCTGTATAGTTTCCACTAACAAATTTACCGTTTCTCTGATTGACATTTCCTCATAGGTGTCTTGATGCTTTCCTCTTGCTGTTTTTAGAAGTCTCTCTTTATCTTGTGATAGTTATTTATTGTACTTCAGAGAGGACATTTTTGGGTTAAATCTACATGGAAATATTTGAGCTTGTTATCTGCATGCCACACATCTTCCAAGAATTGAGTTTTCAGCTATTACATCATTAAACAGGTTTTCTATGTTTTTCTTCTTCTCTGCTTAATGTGGAACTTCCATGATTCCAATATTTGTTTTCTTAATGTCCTCTTATACGTCCCGTAGTCCTGCTTCATTCATTTTTATTCTTTTTCCTCTTTTGGCTAATGCATTTATCTCAAAAGGCCTGTCTGTAAGTTCAGAAATTCTTTCTTCTACTTAATTTAGTCTATTGATGAAGCACTTATTTTTATTGTATTTATTTAATTTTTCAATTTTAATATGTCTGTTTGGTTCTTTTTTAATACAGCTATCTTTTTATTGAATTTCTAAATCATATTTTTTTTGGTATTCCTATGTTAATATCTGTGCATCTGGTGGAACAATCTCTTCTTCCAGTTTTATGAAGTAGCTTTTATAGGGAAAGATCTTTTTCTCTATGTGTGTCCTACAGTTTTACTTGGATAAAATACTTTGGCTTTGGTTCTGAGTGGGCACAGTAATATAGTCTCTATAAAAATTATTTGGTAATCAATGTCAGCAGTGTCTCTAAGTGCCTTTGTGGCCATTCTGTGATTATTTGCCATGGCACAAGTTTGCTCAGAGGTGGGGATACCAGGCAGACCAGCCTTCAGACCCTTCAAGTAAATGCACAAGTTCATGGCATCTCTGCTGCTGGAGTAAATGTAATTGCTGGTTGTGGTGTTATGCCTTGAACTGGTGGCTTGAAGGCTCTGGGGAATATGCATGTCAGCTTTCTCCGTCCGGGGGAAAGCTTCCTCACTGTGCTAGACTATTTATACTCTAGGATGGAGGGTCCTGCATGTGCTTCAGTACAACAGTCACAGCTGAACTATTGGGTCCAGCTGGTGGCGCAACACTGCAACCCTCTGAATGGATGTGGGATGGATGTCAGGCCCCAGGGATGTGGAAATGCAGGGGCTATTCGTCCTCAGGGAAGGATGTACTCTGATGGTGACCATGCTCTCAAAATGTCATTGTGCTGCAATAACCTGGGTCCCAACGAGTGAAGGTGATCTAGCATTAATTTTTTTTCTCTGGGATAATAAAATCCTATGAACTCCAGGCAACTCCCTCTGGTGAACTTAGGGCCTATGAGGCCTGAGGGGCTCTACTATAGCTAGAATTGCAGGTATCTGTTGTCAAAATGTGGGCTTTGGGGCATTCCCCACTCACCTATTCTCAGAAATGGGGAGTACCTCTTGGCTCTGAGCCAATCTTGGCCAGATTCTTTGCTTCCCTCTCTATGCTACCATCTCAAGCTTCCATGCCTCAGATGGTCTTCATCACTTCCTTGCTGAATTTCATTGTTCTCCCTTAAACATCCTATTCAATGTGTGTGGTTTGCTGTTATGGTTCTTCTTTGTGGAGGAGGTGAGTGCTAGAGGCTTCTAGTAAGCCATCTTGATGACATCTGTTTGAGTCATTTTTTTTTAAAGCATCCATTTATATTGGTCATGAACATTATTTACTTGTTCAGGTTTTTAATTAATATGTTGCTCGTCATATTCGTCAAAGTCTGCATTATAACTTTAATAGTGAGTTTGTGGATTAAAATATATGTGTGGATTGTGTGTCTGGTTCAGCATTTACACTGAAAACTTGAACACATGACTTAACTTTGTTTGCCTCAGTTTCCAGGTAATGATAACATCTTTGAGGGAAAATCAATGTTTTTATTTTAAAAGATGGGAGGTTATTGGAGGAGTTAATAGAGAACTCTTGGCAAAGGAAAAGGCTGTGGGTTGACAATATTTGACAATAACTAACCTTGAGATAAAAATATAGGCAGACATCTATAAAGATTAATGTGTTCTTTATGTGCTACTTATGAAAAATGACCTGAATACTAAGGTGATGATAAAGATTTGTTGTTCAAGAGAGAATGGAACTCTAGAGACAGAGTTTCACAGAGCAATTACTCTAATGCTGACATTAATATCGGAAGAAAGTTGTTTTCTTCCATAGCAAAGGTAACACTCTACTGATTTTCAACATAAAAATCCCTCTGACCTCTATTTGTAAGGTTCCTCATAGCATGAAACTCAAACATGTAAGGAACTGACTTTCAATTTCAATCACTTCATGCATATTCAGCTGGACTGGCATGTGGCCCACATTAACCTGGTTATTACTAAAAGCAGAATGTTCTTCTTTAAGGGACCAAGTCTTCAGTCCTGAAGCTCAACAAAACCAACTGAGCCTTGAAAATGCCAAACACATCACCCATAAACTATAAATCAGACCAGGCATCAGAATCTGAGGTTCAGTAATTAACATTTTTTCCCTCTTAGGAAGGATACATGTCACAAGCATGTAACTGCCGGCAAGGTGGAGAGAGTACATACGATTTACAGCAAAAATAAGAAAAATAAGAAAAAAATCTTAAAAAAAAAAAAACATCATGAAGTATGTAGGCCTGTTTTCTTTATTTCTGTGCCCACTTGTGCTTGATTCCAAAAGCCATGTTGACACTAGAAAACTGATTTTATGACTCCAAATTTTCCTTTCCTCCTTTATTTATTTATTTATTTATTTATTTACTCATTTATTTTTTTGTGAGATGGAGTTTTGTTCTTGTTGCCCAGACTGGAGTGCAATGGCATGATCTCGGCTCACTGCAACCTCTGCCTCCCAGGTTCAAGCGATTCTCCTGCCTTAGCCTCCCAAGTAGCTGGGATTACAGGCAAGCGTCACCATGCCCAGCTAGTTTGTTTTGTTTTGTTTTGTTTTGTTTGTAGAGACAGAGTTTCTCCTTGTTGGTCAGGCTGGTCTCGAACTCCTGACCTCAGGTGATCCACCCGCCTTGGTCTCCCAAAGTGCTGGGATTACAGGCGTCAGCCACCATGCCTGGCCACTTTCCTCCATTTTTAAAGTGTACTCTGACGTTCTTCAAATTTTCCGAATCATAAAAATCATTAGATACAATTTATAAATATATGAACTCTTGGAGTCATCTGAAGAGAGACATTTTTAGTTCAGACTATAGATAAGGCAGTGACTCTCAACAGATGTTTTACAATCTCCTCCCAGTGCTATATCACAGTCAGAACCCAAAATATGAGTAAAAAGCACAGGTTTGAAATATCACACCTAGTCCATACAAAAAGAAACTTTAGAGTCCAGGTAACAATTACATACCGAACAGTTTAGGAAACAGAGTGAGGAATTAAGAAATGTATCAGGAGATATTTAACAACTAGTGGCTGACACACGACTGGACAGAAGAAATACGATTCTTTCAATGACTTGGTTAAGGCACCTAACTTGTTATTAGGATTATCTAGGTCAATTATCTGGGTACTCTTAGGCATGTCTTGACTCCCTAAACTTTTAATTAGCAATTGCATTCAATATTATAATACTTGAAGTGAAACAGGCAGATAGAGAATATTTCTTATAATATTCTATTTTAGCCTATGTTATTCCTTTCTGGATATATTCATCATGACATTAACTCACTGATATGTGGTAACTATTAGAAAGAAAGTGATTAACTCATCCTGACATTGAATAAAAGATAGCCAGCTGAATAATAAAATCGCATTTGGCTGCATTGGAAATACAGTATAACAAAGGATATCAATTAAATCCCAAACTATATCATTAATGATTGTTCTGTTTTGGAGAGAGAGTAGAGGAAAAAATTTTCCAGAGACTCATATTAAGCTATGTAGGCGAGGGTTTTAATTGTTATATATAACTGCATAACTACTTTTTAAAATATAAGCCATGATAGTCGGGCGCAGTGGCTTACACCTGTAATCCCAGCACTTTGGGAGGCCAAGACAGGCGGATCACCTGAGGTCAGGAGTTTGAGACCAGCCTGGCCAGCGTGGTGCAACCCAGTCTCTACTAAAAATACAAAAAACTTAGCCAGGTGTGGTGGCACTTGCATGTAGTCCCAGCTACTCAGGAGGCTGAGGCATGAGAATCACTTGAACCCAGGTGGCGGAGGTTGCAGTGAACCAAGATCAGGCCACTGCACTCCAGCCTGGGTGACAAAGTGAGACTTTGTCTCAATAAAAAGAGAAAGAAAGAGAGAGAGAGAGAAAGAGAGAAAGAGAAAGAAAGAGAAAGAAAGAAAGAAAGAAAGAAAGAAAGAGAAAGAAAGAGAGAAAGAAAGAAAGAAAGAGAGAGAGAAAGAAAGAAAGAAAGAAAGAAGGGGCGCCATGATGACAATCAATCAAGGAAGGAAACGAAAGCATCAGGGACAAGATAAAAATTTTTAAATGTTGTAGTTAGTCTCTTTTAACTGTGCATCATTTTCTTAGGCTATCTGTAGGAAAATAATAATTGTTCTAATTCCTAAAGAGCTCATTTTTTTCTTGCCCTTGTCCTTCATTTTCAATATTTTTTACAGTTATGTTCTAACTATCTAGAAATGATTTACATGAAATGGGTATCATGCCTCTTGATGCACAAACAAAATGACCTGATTAGGTCATAGGAAAAAAAAATAGAGTATTTTGTACAAGTGTGTCTGCTAATGAAATATGACACCAAGATACCAAATTAATTAACCATCCAACCAGCCAACCAACCAACATAACAAAGACTTTATCACTTCAAGAGCACCTCAAAAGCACACCAAGGTCTATAATGGAATAACTAAAAGATTTTCAAATACAGGGCATAATTCCTCAATGAGTACTACTTTTTCAACATTCCACTAGTTATGCTCAAGAAAATGCACATATTTCTACTACTGAAAACTGTTCTCAGCTGTCAATACTGAGTATATGATGGTAGACAATCTCATCTACCAGTTCTTTTGCCTTATAAGTGGTTTTGAATACACTATGAATAACAGAATATGCACATAATAAAATATATTGTTTTACATATCAGTTGTCACACTATTCCATTTGCATAAATACAGATGGGGCACAAGTGGTGAGATTCAGTGACTTCAGCATTCTCTAGAAATGCTGAATAAAAATTCTCACAAAGCTGCTGGTCTCTAGAAATGCTGAATAAAAATTCTCACAAAGCTGCTGGTTAGCTAAGAGAAAGAAAATGATTTTAAATATTGGTGTTTTGTAGGCATCGGTTTAGAAGATTTAAAATCTAAAGGGCTTTCTAAATTTCTAGATCTGCAGATTGATCTAGTCAGTGCTGTCTAATAGAATGCAAGCTACAATTATAGTTATAAATTTTCTAGCAGTCACATTAAAACTGAAAATAAACAGCTGTAATTTATTTTAATAATATATTTTATTTAATGTAACATATCTAAAATATTGTTATTTCAAAATGTAGCACTAGCCATGCTACCAGTGCTCAATAGCTATTTGAGGCTAAAAGCTACCAAATGAACTAGCACAAAACTAGACTTTGAATGAAAAC